>NT_187657.1:0-214625 GCF_000001405.40 Homo sapiens
AATTCACCGAGATAAGCGGAGGTTTTGGTCAACGTTCCATCAGCGTGTAAAGGGGGCACACAGCCTGTCAGGGGTGGGTTCCCTATTCTTCCTGTCAGGTGAAATGTGTGAATCTGGCTTTGAAATCTTCATGCTGACTTGTGAGTACAGCTGAGCTGCTGGGACAAAGGCCCACCATCCCAGGCCCCAAGTCCTTCCCTGGTGTTAGCCCAGGGCAGGGGTCAAACTTCACCCTCCAACACCTTCCTGGGGCCCCAGCCATGGGGCAGCCCTGTTCTCACCAAGGGCTGTCGAGGAGCCGCAGGAAGGCAGGAAGAAGAGGAAGGACAAGCATCTTCCAGACGGTGACTAGAAAGCTCCACCTGCCCCCACCTATGTCTCAGTCCTGAAGCTCAGGACACAAGGGAGGCTGGAGTTCAAGTGCCTGAGAGCCCACAGCCAGAGAAGCTTGCACGGGGTCAGAAAGACAGACGGGAGTCAGCAGGTCACAGCCCTGTGCCCACAACAGGTGGCAGGAAAGAAGCTCAGAGACCTGACAACAGCCACAGCAAGGACATGTGTGCACACAGGCCAGGTGTCTCGGCAGAACTGCAGACACTGGAGGGCCAGCCAGGCTGAAGTGCACATGGGCCACACAGGGTGGGGCTGGAGAGAGACAGGGGACTTCACCCCACAGGCAATGGGGGTCCACCAAAGTGCCTTGTATATAGGAGGATGACATGTGGATCCTCTCAGGTGGCTGTGTGGAGCATGAGTCAAAGATAAGGACATACATCCCCGCCACCGCCAGGTGCCTATGGCTATAAGAGCCTAGGCCTCAGCCCAGGGAACTGCGGGCTTGCTTAGGGAATCCAGCAAAACCCTCACAGCCTTCTGGATGGAGCCCCATGGCATGGATGGCGAGGCGTGAGGGGAGGCAGGACGTGGCCTTCCTGAGCAGCAGGCTCGAGGCACGGGACACACAGGCCACCACCACAACTTCAGGCTCTGTAACAGGGACCTACCCACGCAAAAGGTCCTTATCTGAAAGGGCTCCATCCTCACCCTAGAGCCCTCCACACGTCATTTTGGGGGACATTTTATTTATTTTATTTTTTATTTTTTTGAGATGGAGTCTTGCTCTTGTCGCCCGGGCTGGAGTGCAGTGGCACATCTTGGCTCACTCCAACTTCTGCCTCCTCGGTTCAAGCAATTCTCTTTCCTCAGCCTCCCGAGTAGCTGGGATTACAGGCGCATGCCACCACGCCTGGCTAATTTTTTGTAATTTCAGTAGAGACGGGGTTTCATCATGTTGGCCAGGATGGTCTCAAACCCCTGACCTCAGGTGGATCCACCCATCTCGGCCTCCGAAATTGCAGGGATTACAGGTGTGAGCCACCGGGTCCCATTTCATTATTTTGATTAGAAATGAAATGACCTGCCCAGGCGCGGTGGCTCACGCCTATAATCCCAGCACTCTGGGAGGCTGAGGCGGGCGGATCACCTGAGCTGATCCCCAGCCTGCTGGGGAAGGGGAAGGAAGGTGGCCACAGGCCCCAGCATAGTACAGACTGACGCCCTTGAAGTCCACACTGCACCGTGGGCCCAGACAGAACAGGCCTCCCGCCCCGCCCTCACAGAGGTGCCTCGTGGACAGCCACTGCATGGCATAGCAAGTCCCTGGACCCAGGCCTGTCCAGACCCTCGTGGGAGTGGGATATGAGCTCCACAAACGTTTCGGGGGGCACCCAGGCCCCAAGTCCCTGTTCCACCACCAGGGCAGCTCAGGAGCCAGGACACTTAGCTAGTGAACCCTGGGACCTGCTGCACTCCGGGGGACACTGAAGAGCTCGGGAGCCGACAAACCACAAATGCTGCTACTTAGAACCTGTGTGTCCAACAAGGAGAAGACAGCAAAGGAGGGAAGACTGCTGGGCAGGAGAGCACCCGAGACACCACCACTCCTACCAAGAAGTCTCTGAGGACAACTGTGGGCCAGGATCCTGCGTCGTCAGCACAGAGCTGCCTTCGGTCTGCCTTGGAGTAAGGGCCTCGGAGAGGCACGGGGTCACAGAAAACAACACTTTTATTTTCACATGAATTATAAATACCCAGGAACCCTCACACAATTCAGCTTGGCCCAGCACTTCTTCAGCCAAAAAGGTAGGAGGCCTTCCCAGCAGGAATAACAGAATGTACTTGAAGATAAAGGTTTTAATGAAAAAGGGTTTCTAAACCTCCTGACAGTGGCCACCTCCAGAAAAGCCCCTGGGTCTCCACACTCACAGTGCAGGAGTGAATGTCAAAAAGCACTCCCAAGGCAGGGCACAGTGGCTCACGCCTGTGATCCCAGCACTGTGGGAGGCCAAGGTGGGCAGACTGCTTGAGGCCAGGAGTTCAAGACCAGCCTGGCCAACACAGTGAAAACCCATCTCTACTAAAAATAGAAAAATTTGGCCAGGCGCGGGTGTCTCACACCTGTAATCCCAGCACTTTGGGAGGCCAAGGCGGGCGGATCACCTGAGGTCAGGAGTTCGAGACCAGCCTGGCCAACATGGCGAAATCCTGTCTCCACTAAAAATACAAAAATTAGCTAGGTGTGGAGTACGCCTGTAATCCCAGCTACTAGGGAGGCTGAGACAGGAGAATCGCTTGAATTCGGGAGGCGGAGACTGCAGTGAGCCGAGATCGCGACACAGCACTCCAGCCTGGGCAACAAGAGCAAAACTCCATCCAAAAAAAAAAAAAATTACACTGGCCTGGTGGCATGTGCCTATAATCCCAGCTACTCAGCAGGCTGAGGCATGGGAATCGTTTGAACCTGGGAGGCAGGCGGAGGTTACAGTGAGCCATGATTATGCCACTGCACTCCAGCCTGGATGACAGAGCAAGACCCTGTCTCAGGGGAAAAAAAAAAAAGCATTCCCAAGACCCCAAGCACGAGAGGAAGCAAATCCCTTCTGTGCATCCCAACGCAGAGCTCATCTCAGAAAGCTCTGCGTCCAGGTGTCCAGGAGGCAGCCAGCTGGCCAGGCAGAGGCATACCCTGGGTGGTCAGACCCATCCAGCGCCTGCTCCCTGCCCTGGGCACGCCAGGTACAGCAGGGGTACGTGTGGGTCTGTGGAGAAGATGAAGCCTGCCCTGAAGCAGTATTTGTTACACATTTATGAAGGCAAGGAGGACACAGGAAACTGTTCAGCAGAAAACGCTGCTGTCACGAAGGGAGAGATAGCCAGCTTTGGGAAATGAAGGTGCCCACTCTGCCCTCAAGGAAGCAGCAAGCCTCAACTGCACACCCGCCACACAGCTACCCACCAGCCCCAGGCAGTCTCAGGCCACACATCCCAGAGGCCCCGTGGCATGAAAAGAGGATCTCTGAGGGCATAATACCCGACTCCCCGGTGGGGAGTAAAATCACCTCTGGAGCACAGCCGGGCAGACACCAGGCCTGCACCCCCGTCGGCACTGGGGGTGGTGCCTGTGGACCATCGGCGGCTTTAAATTCTCTTGGCTGCTCCCGTTCCACCATCCCCTCTGACAGCTAAGAACAGGCTGAGGGCGGGCAACGGGAGTAGGAATTGGGTGGGAACAGCGGGTGGCAGCGGCCGGGCAGTGGCAACTACAGGTCACACAGTCAACCACGGTTCCCTTGCTCAGAGCCTGTAACTACTGCCATCCACTGAGCTTCCAAGAGGGCCTCAGACTTTACCTGGGGCTTCCTGAATTCACCTGGTTGTCTGGGAGGACTAGTGTTTCTTGAGAGACGGTGAGAAACATGGCCCTAAGCCCTCTGCGTGGCCCCGTGCCCACTGCCGTCTCCATGCTCTGAGGAGCCTCAGTGACTAAACGTGGTCCCAACCTGTACCAGGCCATACCAAAGTCCTGAACAGGTCAGTGGTGTCAGGTGCCAGCGTGGCCTGGATTTCTTCCTGACAGAGGAACTAACCAGCGCACAGCTCCAGCCACTCAGAAAGGAGGCAGGTGGGAGGCTGTAAAAGAAAGTAAGGGACAGGCCTGGCATGGTGGCTCACGCCTATAATCCCAGCACTTTGGGAGGCCGAGGCGGGTGGATCACGAGGTCAGGAGTTCAAGACCAGCCTGACCAACCTGGTGAAATCCCGTCTCTACTAAAAATACAAAAAGAAAAAAAAAAAAAAAGCCAGTTGTGGTGGCGGGCGCCTGTAATCCCAGCTACTGGGGAGGCTGAGGCAGGAGCCAGGAGGCAGAGGTTGCAGTGAGCTGAGATCGCACCACTGCACTCCAGCCTGGGCAACAGAGTGAGACTCCGTCTCAAAAAAAAAAATAAAATAAAATAAAAAATAAAAAGTAAGGGATGGTGAAAAGAAGAGCATCCCTCAGGCGCCAGCCAAGGGCAGGAGCGGGCCCAGGGCCAGCAGGTGCCCAAGGCTTCCTGGCACTCGCCCTCCCAGGCTGCCCCCTGGCCCCCAGCTCCCCCGGCCCCCGGCTCTCCCTGGCCCTCTGGGCTGGCTCGCAGTGTACCTGTCCTCTGCCCCTCTGCAGGCCAGGGGAGTCGTGGAGACACTGCCTCGGGCTCCAGCACTTCCCATCGTTTCCGCCTGGGCTTTTACTTTTCTCTTTAAGAACAAGCTCTAAAATCTTAACACTCAAGATTAATACCCTTAAAGAGAACCCATGCCAGTCATAAGAAAACTGGACCAGTTCAAGACAAAGTAGGCAAAGACCAAGCAGATAATGGCATGGCCCACCGTGCATAGAAGCATCGGCCATATCAGCCCTCCTGCAGTAAACACGGACTAAACCTTGGCACCGCTCTCTGCCTGTCAACGTGGCAAAGATCTTCTTCAGAAAAGACCAACACAAGTGGCGGGCACCGACCTGTGGAAACACCAGCACTGGCACCACGCTCCCTTCCCAGGGACTTGGGAAGCATCACACAACCTGGGAACGTCCCCATTCCCACCGGCAGGGGAGCAGTGGACAACTCCCCTGGGTAGCAAGAGTCCCACTACAGAGTGAGGCTGGTTTTAATGTTAAGTACAGACTATCGCTGGGTGGTAGGAGGATTTGCTTTTGATTTTCTGGGTTTTTTTTCCTGTATTTTGTGTCTCTACAATGGACATGTAACACCAAGTCCCAGGTGAGCAGGGATGTGTCCTTCCTCCTAAGGTCCCCCCACCCCCGCAGGACAAGGCACATAGGACACCAGCAGGGTCCAATGGGTGCTGGGAAGATGAATGGCTGCTGAGCACAACAACCTGAGGCCAGGCCCTGCGGAGCCAGAGGCAGGTGCGGGTCAGCCCCACCCTCAGCACCACTCCTGGACTCCACCAGCCAGCGCTACCCACTGTTACAAAAGCATCAACCCAGAGGGAGCTGCGGTGACAGGGAAGGGTCCCGCTGTCCCTGCCCGCGGTTCCCTCTACCCACCCTGTGGGGCCAGAAACCCGGCTCAGTAAACCTCACCTCCCATGCACCTTTCCTTCCCTGTTGGAGACCACTGGGCCCATGCTGAGGTCCCGTTTGCTGAGTCAGAGAATGGCACTTGGGAAGCCCTGTGGGGTCTGTCTTGCTGAGTAGCCAAGGAACCCACCCAGGGCTGGTAAGACCACTGCCAGTGCAGAGAGACGTCTGGTGAAGGGGCGTGCAGTGCCTCCACAGAGAAGCCTGACCAAACACGAGAAAGGACAAAAGCCCACAAACAGCGGCTTCTGAAAACACCGCGGACACAGCCACACAGGAGCAGCTTATCTGCTCGTAGCCTGTTTTATACGATTTCTGCCATTTTTGCTAGGGCCAGCTTGCTGCTTGGTAAGTCCCAGGCAGTGTGGCTCGGTGGGTTCCGGGGTGTGCTCCCCATACCTCCCAAGACAGTCCAGGCCAGCACTGAGTACCGACACCCCCTCAGACCGGCGACTAGGGCTCAGGAACTCTTCCTAAACGAGGGGCTGCCTGAGCAGCCTCTCCCTAGAGGCGTCTCCCGGGCCACACTGAAGCCCTGTCACAGTGACACTGGACTGAATCAAGCTGAAAGCTTGGGTGAAGCCACAGAACACGTTGGGCCATGGCCTGCACAGGCCGACGCTCACCTGAGCGGGCACCATGAAAGCTCAGCAATGGAAACGCGGGCTGTCCAGTGTTGGCTCTGCCTCGGCAGCCCTCGGTGGTACCCGGAGACAGCACCTGCCCCACCTGCACAACCCCATGGCCCACAGTAGTGCCGGGCTGCACGCCCTGGGAGGAAAACTAAATGGCAGGAAGAGGAAGGTAGCCCGTGAGGAGGGCCGAGCCCTGCCCAGAAGTTAGAGGGAGAGAGAAAAGGCCTTGGTCTCTGAGGTGACCAGCCAGGGCCTCCTGAAGGAGGCAGGAGGACCAGGGCCTCCTAGAGCCCTCCTCCATCCAGAGGCAGGCTGTCCACTCTTAACCACTCCCACCCCCAGATCCAGGTGGCTCCGTGACTCCCTGACCAACAGAAGGTGGCTGAAAGGATGTATTGTCTTCCAGCCATTTTCATGATGGCTCTCCTGGGATGAAGGCCGTCCCGGCAGAGGCAAAGAGAGGCCACGTGGGGAGTCCTAGAGCCCAAAGTGTGGTCTGGGACCATGAGGTTAGCACTGTCTTTACAGTACCACAAAGGTGCCATGTGCCAAAGCCTTGTGGAAGCCACCTGGCCTGTAAAATTACAGCAGGATAAACACAGAACCTGACAGATCCAGCTCTCGAGATTTGCAAAAAGTAAAGCCACTCTATTTATTTGACTCTAGAAGATAATAGGTTTTTTTTTTAATTTTAAAAATATTACTTATGTTAAGATATACTGGGTTTTTAATTATTTCTAAATGAATTAAAGTTGTTTTACATTCTCAATTTTAATTTCTGAAAGATGAATATTCATAGCTCCATCATGTAAACTCAATAAGGACTTTTTTTTTAATTTTAGAGGCAGGGTCTCACTATCACTGAGACTGGAGTGCAGCGGTGCAGAGCTCACCGCAGCCTCAGCCTCTTGGGTTCAAGCAATCCTCCCGCCTCAGCCTCCCAAACAACTGGAACTAGAGGCATACACCATCACATCTGGCTAATTCTTTTTACTTTTTTGTACAGATGGGGTTTCCCTATGTTGCTCAGGCTGGTCCTGAACTCCCAGTCTCAAGTGATCCTCCCACCTTGGCCTCCCAAAGTGCTGGGATTACAGGCAGAAGCCACCATGCCCAGCCTCAACAAGGACTTTAAGGGGTCCTGAGAGCAAGAAGTCCAAAAACTCTGCTCTAGGGTGAGGATATAAAACTCTGCCTGGAGAGATCCATGTGGGGGAAACTGTGGCACCCCAGCAGACACCCATGACAGCAAGGCCCCTGAGGGCTGCCAGCCCAGCCACCACGGGTGGCAGTGCAGGAATAACCTGTGGGGCCAGAGCCCCACCCACCAGCCCACAGATGCGGGAAAGGTGATGAGGCCTCATGTTAGGCCCAGAAGTTTCAGGGTTGGTCACTCAGAAACAGGTGAGCAGGAACCACCCACGGCCAAGCCGGAGGCTGCTGAGCCATGCCCAAGATCAGAGACGCACGCGTCTGGAGCAGCGCCTGACACCTGACCCTGGTGGCTGACCATGCGGCCTGCCTGGCAGTCCTGGGCATGGGATGCACACCCGCACCCTGGCCCACCCAGGGGCAGAAGAGGGGACCACGAAGTTGTGTGTTTTCTGCTGAGAGCATCCACCAGAGCAGAGCTGCTCAGGAGGGCACACGGTGCTGCAGGCTGAGCATGTCACACGCAGAGCCAAGGCCGCCTGCTGGGAAGCCCACCGCTGGCAGGGAGCACAGCCTACGCACAGAATGATGCTCTCATGGTAATACTCCCCACGGAACCCTGCAGGGGTTCATTTTATTCTATATTGTCATCTTTTTTAACATTAAAAACTTGGCTACCGGTGACACTGATTATTTCTTTTAACCCACAATATTCATAAGATGGTTGCCAAATTGTAAGAGCAATCTGACCTGCCACCGAAGCCTCCTGAGCGCAGCCTGAGGTCTCCTTGCTGTTCCTCCTGTCCTCAGACTGTCCCCCATGCCCACATGAGCTCAAGGGCTTTGCTGGCACAGCTCTTCAGCTCAGAGGTTATCCAGGTGATACACAGCCAGGCTCACCAGTTCCTGCTCACAGAGGCTTCCCTCCCTGCCCCTTCGTCTATTCAACTGATACGGGAGCTGAGTCACATGCGCTCCTGCTGGCTAAATTTGACACAGCCCATTCATCAAAATATTATTAAAGACGACAATCGACTGAAAAATATTAAATAAAAACCCACGTGTCCCTGGAACCATGAGGGGGAGGAGGCAAAGGCAGCCCTTCTGAGACAAAGCACCAGGGAGCCAGGGCTCCCTCCATAGGCCTGCATGGCGAGTCCCCTCCCTCACCTCCGCAGGTCTCAGCTCAACAGCACCTTCTCAAAGAGGCCTTCTAGAGCTCCTATTCAAACAGCTCTCCCACGCACCCCCTCCAGGCACCCCATCCCACACCTCCTTACTCCCGTCCCCCTCGGCAGTGGGGAAGCTGCCCAGGGGTGGCTCCTGTTGCCTCTGTTCACGCGTGTCCGGAGCACTCAGAGCAGGCTGCGCGCATGCAGGCCTCCAACAGGAACCTGACTCAACCCAGATTCTCAGGCCCACACTCTTGTATTTCATGACACCACTGCTATGACAAATGGTCCTGTCACATGTGGCACAAAGAACAGGGCACGCAGCAGAAGGGCAGATGTGCCGGGAGGAGGAACCCAGAGCGGCCGCCCATGTAGAGGGCTGGCCGCAGGCTGTGGGGAGAGGCCAGGGCTGTGCAAGACAAACTCAACACAGACAAGCCATGCTCACGCCAGCAGCTTTCAACCCACGCCGGAGCTAATTTTATGCTCCTGGGCTCACGCCCAGGCCTGGCCCCAGGCTCAGGCATCTGGCTCCTCAGGGCCACCTGGCACCATCAGGCCTTTCCATGGGCTGAGGACAAGTCCCAGCAAAGCAGGAGTTAGGAGCTTCCGTAGACGGTGCAGGCCAAACCCCGAGACAACAGCCCCACCTGGGCTCCTGAGATTGCATTGCTGTGGGGATAGGGTCTGCCAGCCCACAGCCTGCACAGCCACCATGTCTGGAGGGGAAAAGGCGCTGCTGAAAGGGTGCTTGGAAGAAAAGTCTCCCAACCCGCAAAGGTCACGGGCAAAAGGGAAACAGCATGGTGCCTCCATGCTTTCCAACCCTCCAGCTTGCCTGCTTTCTGCAGGGAAAAGCTGCATACCTTTGTGGGAGCTCTTTGCCTCCCCGCCCACCACAGCGAAATGCTCGATGACACAGACCAAAATCACCACCACGCAGGGCGAAAAACAGGAGCTGCGGCACTTAACTCACTCACATTAACTAACTCACGTTAGCCCCGGGACATCCGCAAACAACTGCAGGGATGAATGAACAGACATTCCAGCCCAGGGAGCCGTGTGCGCTGGCAAAGGAGACCTTCAAAGAGAAGGGAGCCAGGGACAGCAACGCGACTGTGGCCACAGTCCACAGGCCAAGCAGTGCCACAGATCACACGTGGCCTGGAAGCCCTGCCCACCATCTCCTTCTTTTCTCTTTAAGCTTCCACATTTTGTTTGTTCCAATTGTTTCTACTTCCACTGAACACCAATGGGTGTGCCCCAGCCAGGAGAAATCCTGTGCAGAAAAAAACAAACATGGTGAAGGCAAAGAATGGGAGGCTCTTCTGGCCAAAGACAGACGGGAACAGCACACGCCCTTCCCTTCCAGACAGGTCTAGCACTGGCAGGAGGCTGCACAAGCAGTAATCACCACGGAGAAACAAAGGCCACGGCCCTGTGGCTCCCAACCAGCACTAAGTGGCCCTAACAAAAGTTGCAGTGGGCCCTGGTGTTTCTAACCCAGACCGCTGTGTGGACAAAGGAGAAACACTGGGGTGACAGGGGCATGGCACAGGGGTCCTCCCTCACAGTGGCCTCAACACCCCTCCTCCCGTACCGGATGACCGCAGCAGAGACCACAGCTTCCTCTGGAGAGGGGGTCTGGTGGTACACCAAGCCCCTGCTCGATCTGACAGCAGCACTTGGCAGGCAGACCCCTAGGGTGGCTGGCTTTCCCAGGGCTGGGAAGAGGCCCTCATGAGCCAGGACACAAGGGTGGCACTTGGTGGTGGCAAAGGTGGGGGCTGCGCTGTCTCAGATACACTCGTGATGAGAAACGCAGCCCTGCTGTCTACCAGCCCCCGACCAGGGGAGGCCGTCTGCAGCTCCCCTGGTGGGCTCACCCCCAGCTTCAAGGACACTTGTGCAAGGGTTCCTAGTAGTCAGTCCGAGCAGGAGAAATGGGAGGGGTGTCGCTAGGGGTTTACGGGGAGGCTCATTCTAAAAAGGGCTCCATGTATCCACGACCACTGCTTTTTTTTTTTTTTGAGATGGAGCCTCACTCTGTCACCCAGACTGGAGTGCAGTGGCGCCATCCCCACTTACTGCAACCTCCACGTCCCGGGTTCAAGTGACTTTCCTGCCTCAGCCTTCCGAGCAGCTGGGATTACAGGCACACGCCACCACGACCGGCTAATTTTTTGTATTTTTAGTAGAGACGGGGTTTCACCGTGTTAGCCAGGATGGTCTCAACCTCCTGACCTCGTGATCCGCCCGCCTCGGCCTCCCAAACTGCTGAGACTACAGGCGTGAGCCACTGCACCTGGCCGACCACTGCTCTTTTTAAGGTTAATTTGGAAACGGGAGGGATGATGGAAAACTTTTTTTTAAAGAAGAGGACTCTGAATGCAACACCACCCTAGGCAAACACCTCTGAAACCCAGGCCTAAGAGTGCCCTGGTGGAGCCCTGATGGAAAGAGGCTATTCCTGAAACCAGACCTTCCAGGGCTGCCCGCTGGAGATACAGCAGACCTGGGCCAGCCGGCTTCTCTGCTCACACCTCCGCATGTGCTGCTGCTTCTTCCTGGGCCACCTCCTTCCTCCTTCCCTCTTGGAAAAGCCCTTCATACCTGCTCTAACCGAGCCCCCTGCTTTTGGCCGCACTCACCCACTCCTCAATTCTCCTGCTGCCTGGGGCCCTTCTCTACCAGCCTGACAGCTCTAGGAAAGCGGGAATGGCTGTGTCTCCATCTCTGGACCTCCGCCCCAGCACAGAGCCTGGTACACGGCAGCCCATGAACTCAGGAATCTGGGGCCCCCGGCTGAGGAACAGGCCCAGCTCACTGTCCTAAAAGTCACAGTCACAAACCGCGGATCAGTGGTGGAAGGAGAGTGGCAGATGCACATCTCCCCAGGACGGAATTGCACTTGGTGATGAAGAGGACGGAGCTGCAGACACACGCAACGCCATGGATGGACGTTCGCAACACTGCGCCGCATAGGACAGGCACACAGCCCGTGTACTGGGATTCCATTTGCATGATTCAGCTCACCCACACAGATGGCGGGAGACTGGTGGCCGCCTCGAGGCTGGAGGTGGGGATGGGGAGCAGTGCCAGTGGACATGAGGCTTCTCTGGGGCATGATAGCAAAGTTCTCAAATTAAACTGTGGTGATGGTTACTCAGCCCTGTAATTTTACCAAAAATTATTTAATTGCAAACTTAAGTTAACTTTATGGTATGTAAATTATACCTCAATGAGGCTGTTAAAAGAACTCTAGAGATTCAAGCAAGTTCAGCCTGGGTGTCCTCATAATCAGAATCAATTGTCAACCACCAGTAACATCCTCCCATGCGGCAAAGAAAAGAAAGAAGAAAAACAAGGTCATCATCACTCCATTCACATTCCTGCAGAGACACACACTCACGAGATTTTATCTCGGTCAGAGAGGAGGACCCCTGAAGGCAGCTGGGAGAGCCAAGTTAGTAAGCACAAGCTAGCAGCCCCAAAGAGGCCCTCCCCACTCACCTGCAGTCTGTCTTCAATCAGAGCTGAGTCAGTAAGCACAGGCCAGCGGCCCCAGAGAGGCCCTCCCCATTCACCTGCAGTCTGTATTCAATCACCAGCACTGTGGTGCCACAGCCCGAGCCCGCTAACCCACAGTTCACCTGCTGCTTGGAGAGTAACCAGGGCACTGGTGTCAAGGCACCGTGCGGCCTCAGAAGGAGCCAGGAGAGCCCCAAGGAAGGGTGCCTGAGATACGTGCCCCCTTGCCCTGGCTGTGGCCAGCCAGAGAAGGTGCCTGGAGGAGAGGGGCCTTTCCCCACAAACTCCACCACACTGGGCCCTGTGCAGGGCCAGCAGGAGGGCGGCTACATTCCCATCAGTCGGGAGGGGAGGAAGTGTGTTTCCTCTCCTGTATTCCCAGATGCTCAGCTGCTCCTGGGCTGTGCGTTCCGTTGGGTAACACTGACTGCACACACACCTCTTCACAAATGCCTGTTGTCAGTTGAAGACAAGACAAAAGTTTCTCCTAAACTCCAAACAGTGTGTGGTAGAGTTCCTCCCTTCCCTAGCCTCCACAGAAACCACCGCAGCTCAAGCTTCTCCTCTCCACCTGCCTACAACTCAGTGGCGCGGGATGACATCCTGTCACTGGCTGCCCAGAATGGAACAGAGCTTGTATACAAAAAGTGGAAACCGCTTTCAAGTTACAAATTACTCTTTGTAAAAGGAAGAAAGAGAGAAAAAAAAGTTTACCTTTACAGCTACTTCACCAGCAAACTCAAAGCAATGCCAAGCAAAGGAAACCTACGAGAAAGAGATGGTGGAGAGCCATGCCTGCAAACCTTCTCCGGAAAAGCCCCAGCCACGCTCATCATCACCAGTCCTGACGTGCTGGGCTCTGTTCCGGTTTCCCGAGCAGGTTTCCCTGCAGGGCCCCCGTTCCTCAGGAGCGGCTAGGAGTGCTGATGATAAGGCTGCTAGAATGCTCAGCAGGCCAGGCTCTTAGCTCTTCTCCCAGTGACAAGGAAGACATGGCTTTTCACTTGCACATCCACAGAACACTCTTCCGGTGATCAGAAGAGAACACGGCAGGCAAAGGCACTGTTTGCTGCTACTGTCAAGTCCATACTTTGTCATCTGAGATGAACTAATTCAAAGAAATCCTTTCTTTAAACAAAAACTTTTAAAACGTAAGAGACCTGTATTCCAAACTAACTACTTGGCTGACAGTGAGTGCTTTGAATTAATTAAAAATATCAAGAAATAGTCAAAAATAACACATTTCCCCAATCCCAGACTGACAGCTAGTTGAAGGATTAATGGCCAACGAAAGCGCTGGCAATGACCACACAAAAGCTGCTGAGATAGGAGCAAGCTTCTTCACTCACCGCTGACCCCTCTCCAGTGGCAGAGCCTGATTAAGTGAGCAGTGGACCAGAATGAGAGAGACCTGTGGGTCCCTGCGGCTCGCTCACTCTTCAGCTTTTACAACTTATTTTTATAGTAGATGCTCAATAAACATGTGAAATGAGCAGAGGGAAGGAGAGACAGAGTAGTCCCTGGGCCCTCTCTGCCCTGCATCCTTGTATACCAGCTTAAAACAGGCTCTGGAGGAAAAGCAGTACTTGACCACTGAAATGTACCTCTTAAAACAGGAAGCACAGCCAGGCGCGGTGGCTCACGCCTGTAATCCTAGCACATTGGGAGGCCAAGGTAGGCGGATCACCTGAGGTCAGGAGTTTAAGACCAGCCTGGCCAACATGGTGAAACCCCATCTCTACTAAAACACAAAAAAATTAGCCGGGTGTGGTGGCAGGCGCCTGTAATCCCAGCGACTCAGGAGGCTGAGAGGGGAGAATCACTTGAACCCGGGAAACAGTGTTGCAGTGAGCCAGCCAAGATCGCGCTACTGCACTCCAGCCTGGGCAGCTGAGCAAGACTCCGTCTCAAAAAAAAAAAAAAAAAAAAAAAAGGAGGGGGGGAAGCATATATTTAAGGAATTGTTAAAGAATTCATGATTCACAACGTCCAATAGATTTGAAACCACATATGCAAAGATAACTGCACTCCATGCTAATCCCACTTGAAAATCTCACTGCCCTCTTGGAACTGCCCACTTTTACAGCCAGGCAACGGCAAACACCTCTTCCCTGGCCAGGGCCCTCTGAGGCAGCAGCTCCAAGGTCCTCACCAGCCTTCCCCTGGCACCCAGACCCAGCCTGGGGCCCATGAGATGAGTGTACCACCATCCTTCCCTGGAGGATTACTTGGTTACCAAAGTCTTAACAAGGGTCACAAGAATCTGTCCCCCAGGCTGGTCGTGGTGGCTCATGCCCATAATCCCTGCACTTTAAGAGGCCAAGGCAGGTGGATCGCTTGAGGTCAGGAGTTTGAGACCAGCCTGGCCAATACAGTGAAACCCCATCTCTACTAAAAACACAAAAATTAGCCGGGCATGGTGGCAGGCACCTGTAATCCCACCTACTTGGGAGGCTGAGGCAGGAGAATCACTTGAACCTGGGAGGTTGAGGTTGCAGTGAGCCAAGACCATGACATTGCACTCTAGTGTGGGCAGCAAGAATGAGACAAAAAAAAAAAAAGTGGCAACTGACAGAACTGCTTGTACTGCAGCTCCAGCTAAACATTGTTTTCAATCTGGGGCACATTTAAAGCTTTCATGCACTCTTGGGTCTCTTGCTAATTAGTTAAGAACAGCACATTCAGTAAGTACTGGTCAGAGAGGGTAGGTTAGCTGCCCCACGTCTACTTCCATTTCCTTTTTCTTCTCTTTGCTTCTCCCCCTCTTCCTCCTCCTTCCTTCTCCTCTTTTTACTTAGTAATTGAATGCTGAGCAATATGACCACAGGAAAAACTATTTTATCCAGCTTCCCAGGTAGGCGAGGTGGCCAACGAGATGTAAGGTGAAATTATTGCATAGCTTCCAGGAAATCCTTTTTGTCCTTCCTGTCTACCCCAGCCCTGTCCCAGTCTCCTGCTTCCTGACCAGAATAGACAAAAAAAATGATGGCTGGAGCTCTTGCAGCCACCTTGGAGCATGAGGAAGTGATGATGGAGAGCAGAAAGGCAGAAAGAACCTGGGTTCCTGCTGAAACTCAGAACCCTCCACGACAATCCTGATTCTCTTACCAAGGTGCTTATGTTATTTGAAAGAAATATGGGTTAAATCATCGTTCTTCCGAATTTCTGCTACTTGAAGGAAAAGACAATGTCTAATTGACACATCCATCGGTGTATCATGGTGCTGGAGGTGAAACAGCCCATCCTTTACTTTGAAAAGAATGTTCTCAGATCATTAGATCCCCAAAATGTTGCCAAATCCCTAAATGTTCATGGGATATATCTCTTGGCAAGCACATGTATATTTTTTCTCTTTTTCTTTTTTTCTTTTTAGACAGAGTCTTGCTCTGTTGCCAGGCTGGAGTACAGTGGCACAATCTCGGCTTACTGCAGCCTCTGCCTCCTGGGCTCCAGGGATCCTCCTGTCTCAGCCTCCCACATAGCTGGGATTACAGGCGTGCACCACCACGCCTGGCTAATTTTTGTATTTTTAGTAGAGACAGAGTTTCATCATGTTGGTCAGGCTGGTCTCGAACTCCTGACCTCATGATCTGCCCACCTCGGCCTCCCAAAGTACTGGGATTACAGGTGTGAGCCACCGCGCCCGGCCACACGTGTATTATTTAGCCTCTAGAGTATCTAGGTCCTCGGCTCCGGGGCCTGTGAACGTGGCATCATTCATACGATGTGATATCCTAAGAGACAATCAAAATCTGTGTGGACGAGGCCGGGCGCGGTGGCTGACGCCTGTGATCCCAGCACTGGGGGAGGCCAAGGCGGGCGGATCTTGAGGTCAGGAGTTTGAGACCAGCCTGACCAACATGGTGAAACCCCGTCTCTACTAAAAATACAAAAATTAGCTGGGCGTGGTGGCAGGCACCTGTGATCCCAGCACTTTGGGAGGCTGAGGCGGGTTGGAGACCAGCCTGGGCAACATGGTAAAGCCCCATCTCTACCAAAAATACAAAAAAAAATTAGCTGGGCGTGGTAGCGTGCACCTGTAATCCCAGCTACTCCGAAGGCTGAGGCAGGAGAATTGCTTGAACCCTGGAGGCAGAGATTGCAGTGAGCCGAGATGGCGCCACTGCACTCCAGCGTGGCGACAAGAGTGAAACTCTGTCTCAAAAAAAAATAAAAAAGTCGATGTGGATGAAATTGTGGCAGAGCGAATTCGAGTTTGCAGGACCCTGAGGCCTGAGTGGGGAGGTATACTGCCAATTTCTCCAAATAACAACACCCTGCTTCTGATGTTCTCTGTTTATTGGGATTGAGGTGGGTGTGGCTGCCTGATCAATAGCTGAATCATAACTGTTGATTGGCTCCAATAAGGACACCACGTCTGGAAGAACAGCTGCAGTTGGAATCATTACATCTTTCAATCCACTGTCAATCACCAACACTCTCTGTCTTCCGCACAGACAACACGTGGGAGTGAGACTGGAATCCTAGAGGGGCCCCTTCTCTGCAACTTTGGGGTCTGGGAGGGTGGCACCCATTTCTGGGCATCTCTGGAGATTAAGGTTTGCTTTTGGTTGACAGTTCTGGCAGGAAGGAAGACCCATAGCGTTTCCCACTCAGCCCTCTCCTCCTTCCATTCACCCATTCATCTGACAAATAGGTAGTGAGTGCCAACTACGTACAAGGACAAGGCACTTGTAAGGTGCCTGGAGAACAGTAGTAGACACAACAGACTAAAGCCTCCCCTTGAGGAGCTGTGGAGTGTCAGTGAAAAAAATAATAAAGCAGGCAGCGCATTCAAAATGACCAGTACCCTGGGGTAAACAGAGCCAGGGAGAGGGTCACGGCACACTCAGTGTCATGGGCTGACGTGTGTCCCCTGGAAAGATAAGAGGCAGTTCTAACCCCTAGTACCAGTAAGGTCTGAAAGGGACCTTATCTGGAAAAAGAGTCACTGCAGACGTCATTTTTTGTTGTTGTTGTTTGTTTGAGATGGAGTTTTGCTCTTGTTGCCCAGGCTGGAGTGCAATGGTGCGATCTCGGCTCACTGCAACCTCTGCCTCCCAGGTTCAATTGATTCTCCTGCCTCAGCCTCCTGAGTAGCTGGGATTACAGGTGTCCACCACCACGCTCGGCTAATTTTTATGTTTTTAGTAGAAACGATGTTTCACCACATTGGCCAGATTGGTCTCGATTATAGGCGTGAGCCCCCATGCCCTGTCCACAGATGTCATTTGTTAAGATGAGGTCCTGGTGGGGTGGGGGCTTCCAATCCTATATGACTGGTGACCTTATAAAAAGGAGGAATTTAGGCTGGGTGCGGTGGCTCACGCCTGTAATCCCAGCACTTTGGGAGGCAGAGGCGGGTGGATCACCTGAGATCAGGAGTTCGAGACCAGCCTGGCCAACATGGTGAAACGCTGTCTCTACTAAAAATACAAAAATTAGCTGGGCCTGGTGGTGGGCGCCTGTAATCCCAGCTACTCGGGAGGCTGAGACAGGAGAATCGCTTGAACCCGAGAGGCAGAGGTTGTAGTGAGCCAGGATCACACCACTGCACTCCAGCCTGAGTGACAGAGAGACTGTCTCAAAAAAAATAAAAAGGGTCGGGGGGAGTTTGGACACAGCCTCACGTAGAGAAGACAGTGTGAAGAGACACAGGAAGGAGAAGGCCATCTACAACACAAACCGAGGAGCGACACCTGGAGCAGACCCTTCCTCACAGCCCTCAGAAGAAACCAGCCCTGGTGATGCTGACAATGTCAGACTTCTGGCCTCCAGGACTGAGAGACAGTCCATTTCTGTGGATTGAAGCCGCCTCGTGACAGCCCCTGCCCTTTCTAATCAGGCTCCTTCCTTCTGCCTGGCTCTAGAGCAGCCCCAGGGGCTGCTGTGCCCACTGGGAGTTCCTGGCCAGAGAAGTGAGGGGCTTGATTTTCCCAATCATGCTTCCATCTAGACTGGGGACCCCTTACAGGCAGGACCTTTGTGGAGATCCTCGGGCAGCTGTCCTCCACTGTGGGGTGGAAAGCTGGGGCTTCCAGGATAAGGGTGACCTCATGGCATGTTTCAGGGGAAAGACCTGATTCCCCAGTCAACCGCTGACTCCAGGATGCAGGCCAAGCCCTGCGGGGTCATTCACGGACTCTGCTCTGACCCTGTCTGTCCTTCTCTCGGGCCCACTCATTGCCTTTCGGGGCCAGCAGGGGACATAGCTGGTGCTCAGCGTCCCCTCTCTGTCCCAGGCTGCGCCGCCGAGAGGCCTTGGCACGGGGTAGGCCTCGTGACACACACATTCTCCTACGCTGCAGAGCCTGGAGAACAATGGCTCCCTCTCACCTCTGAGCTGGTTCTTGTGCTTGGGACAGTCCCCAGTGAGGCTGAGGGTAGCCACAGCTGCCAGCGCCTGCCTGGGCAGCCCCTCCATCCCCAGCACCCCCATGGTTCAGCATTCCCTGTACCTCCTAGACCTGAACAGAGTCTGATTTGGGGATGGTGGCGCAGAAGCCTGCCCTGCCTCCCGGTCCCAAGGTGCCGCCAGCTCTTCCAAGCCTTCAACAAACGCCTCAGATGCCCTCCTGCTGATCGCACTGTGCCTGCTGTCCTGCTCCTGCTCCCTCACTTAATCCCCAGGCAGTGACAATCCAGAGAGGAGGCTGAGGCTCCTGGAGGACCAGAGGCTTGTCCGAGGTCACTCAGCGAGTGGGCGGGCAGCTGGGGTTCCAGAAACATCTGCTCTCAAGCCCGCCATTGTCCCACCATGACCTGCCTACCAAAGGGATGCTCCTCCCTGGGTCTTGAGGAAACAGTCAAGGTGGTCACCCTTGGGAGCAGGCTGGGCAGTGTTCTCCAGGCTTCAGTCATCCCCGCCTCCCCTCCAGAGGCCAGGACAGCCCCTGCATTTGGCTTAGCTCTCCGTGGGGGCCTGGTGCCCCTGGGGTGACCGGAATGCAGGCAGGGCATGAGGATGCTGATAATCAGTGTCACCTGGGATTATGGCTGGGGCCGTCCCATGAGCCAGGTGCAGCCGAAAGCTCCGTGTGCATGACCTGAAGCAGCTGCCAGTGCTCTCTGAGAGGGTGCCCTCTGCCTCCCTATCTCCAGGTGTGGCTAAGTAAACAGGCCACGGCGGCACCACAGGGAGGCAGGCTGGGTGCTCCTGCTCATCTCTGGTGGATGCTGCTACCCACATCCAGGGCTGTCACCTGCCCATTCACGCACGGCCCTCCAGGCCACTTCCTCCCCCAGGACCTGCAGGCGGCTGCAACAACCCCCATCAAAGGTCCCGCTAGCCAGGATTCACTGAGGTCCAGTAGAGGGAGGGCTGCAGCCTCTGCTCCCAGAAAGCTGCCCTGTCCTGGCCAGGAGCAGTGGCTCATGCCTGTAATCCCAGCACTTTGGGAGGCCGAGACAGGTGTATCACCTGAGGTCTGGAGTTCAATACCAGCCTAGCCAACATGGTGAAACCCTGTTTCTACTGAAAATACAAAAATTAGCCAGGCGTAGTGGCACATGCCTGTAGTCCCAGCTACTCGGGAGGCTGAGGCAGGAGAATCACTTGAACCTGGGAGGCAGAGGTTGCAGTGAGCTGAGATGGTGCCACTGCACTCTAGCCTGGGTGACAGAGCAAGACTTTGTCTCATATATATATATACATATATATATATATGTACACATATATATACATATATATGTACACATATATATACATATATATGTACACATATATATACATATATATGTACACATATATATACATATATATATGTACACATATATATACATATATATATGTACACATATATATACATATATATGTACACATATATATACATATATATGTACACATATATACACACTCTCATACACACACATATATATGTATATATATAAAATATGTTTATTATTTTATGCGCACACACGTATGTGTGTGTATATATGTGTGTGTGTGTGTATATATATATATTTATTTGAGACAGGGTATGGCTCTGCTGCCCAGGCTGGAGTGCAACGGTACCATCGCAGCTCACTGCAGCCTCAACCTCCTGGGTACAAACGATCCTCCTGCATTGGACTCTCAAAGCCTTGGGATTACAGGTGTGAGCCACCGTGCCCCATCTCTGAGCATATCTTTCTGGGGCACACAATTCAACTTGTAACAGGTGCAGTTACCGGCCACATGATTCATAGCATATAGGGTGTGCTTTACCTGAGGCTGAGACGGGGCTCATCTCCCCTGGGAATCATTCTTGTAAGGTGCCAGTGATCTGCAAATGCAGATGAGGCCTGAGGCTGGGGCACAGGCCACCTGCCAGCTGGCAAGTGCAGGATGGGCAGAGTCCTTGTCCAGACCTGGGCAGAGAGCGCTCAGGGCAGGCAGCGTCCAGGCTGCCGTGGGTTGCTCCTTGAGGCCCTGACCCCCAGGGTCACCTGCAGGCCATTCCTTGAAGCAAAGAGGTGACTGACCTGGGGAGTTGGGAACCTGCCCTTTGTGTCCCCAATGAGCACCCTTCCTGCCACCCCCACCCGGCCGGGATCCACCACCCTTCCTGGCCGGTGGTGCCAGCCCCTAACAAAACACCCTTTCAGGCAAGGACCTGCAGGTTTGCTCCCCTTGCCCTGGGGACAGAGTCTGACATCCTTGGGAACTGACCGTTCCCTGCCCCCTCCCCAGCTCTAGGAACTACTTCATCCTGTGCACTCGGCAGGGTGCCCGGCCCTAGGTGGGTGTGTGGTCGGTCAGGGGCTCCCGTGGCTGCAGTCATGGGCTCCCCTGCACTGCGGGGCTTCGAATGTGCTGCTACTGTTGGGAAGGAGTTGCTCCTCTCAAAGAACTCCTGCTCATCACACAAGGCCTCTCTCACATGCCCCTTCCTCCAGGCAGCCTTCCTGAGTGGTGGCACCTTTTGTACACACCTGTCACAGAAACCACTGATCTCAGAGTGATGACAGAGGCTTGTTTCCCAGGCACGGGGGCTCCGAGGGGCCATCCCCAGCACCAGAAGGGTTCCACACATGTTAATGGAAAAAATCCACAAAAAGCAGGAACGGGAAAGTAAGTTACTGACATTCCACCCCTCCCCAATTCCCATTTTGCAGACAAGACCCTGAGGCCCCAGAGGGCCCAGTGGGTGCGGCACAGTATGGAACTGGCCCCCACAGAGCTAGCCTGTGCACAGGTTCCCCGTCTCCCTATGGGAAGGAGGAGGCACCAGGCCTGCTCCAGCTCCCTCTCCTGGATTGGGACACTGAGGCCCATTACACAGGTGGGGTACTGGCAGGACAGCTCTGCCCTCCAGGGTCCAGTGGGAGCTGCTGCTGCTCCCACAAGCCACGCAGTGCCTGGAGCCAGACTGGGAGAAGCTGTCCTGGTGGGAGCCTGTGCCCTGGGACACAGAGTGCATGGTGCACATGGCCAAAGCGTGGCCTGGAGGCGTGGAGGGTCAGGAAGCAGTGAAGGAGCAGGGCCTCGGCCTCGTGGGGATGCACCCACACAGTAACTACAGATGGAGGCCAGGAGGCTCAGCCTTCCTCCTGGCTCTGCCTCTAGCCAGCTGGGGTTCACTATTGTCCCCTCCATCCACTGGGTAGGGACCCCTAGATTTCAGGTCCCCAAATGTACATGTCTCATCAACAGATGCAGCAGACTCCGTAGGGAAACTTTGGAAATACAGATTCCTGAGCCCTGCCCCCACAGAGGCTGGCTATGTAGGTCCCTGGGCCCTGCATTTAAAGATCCCCCCAGGCATTGCTGGAGGGCAGGAGGGTGGGAGTCCCCGGACCAGATGGACCCTGACAGCCTGACAGCTTTTACTTATCAAACCCATGCGGGCCCCACCTCCTGGGATGCTGGCTCTGCAAACTCACCTCTGCGGAGCCCGTTCCTAGGACTGGTTGCCAGCAGTGTGGTGAGGGCAGTCTGAAGGGTTCCCGGTGGTGGTCATAGAGCCTGCACACGCCTCCTTCTCCCACCGATACCTGTTATGGGTGGGATTGTGCATCCCACATTCATATGTCGATGTCCTGACCCCAGTACCTCAGAATGTGACCTCATTATTTGGAACTAGGGTCACTGCAGAAGAACCTAGTTAAGATGAGGCCACACTGGAGTAGGGTGGGTGGACGGCCTTGTGAAAGGCTGCAGCGAGGGGCTGAGGCAGATGCTCCCTCCTGGCCCTCCACGGAGCCCACCTGCCTACACCTGGATCTTGGACTCATGGCCTCCAGACCTTGTAGAGACATTTCTTTTCTTTTTCTCTCCCTTCCTTCCTTTCTTTCCTCCCTCCTTCCTTCCTTCCTTCCTTCCTTCCTTCCTTCCTTCCTTCCTTCCTTTCTTTCCTTCTTTCTTCTTTTTTTGTTTTGTTTTGAGACAGAATTTTGCTCTGTCACCCAGGCTGGAGTGCAGTGACGCCATCTCAGCTCACTGCAACCTCCACCTCCCGAGTTCAAGGGATTCTCCGGCCTTAGCCTCTTGAGTAGCTGGGATTACAGGTGCCTGCCACTACACCCGGCTTATTTTTGTAGTTTTAGTAGAGACTGGGGTTTCACCATGTTGGCCAGGCTGGTGTCTTACTCCTGACCTCAGATGATCCGCCTGCCTCAGCCTCCCGAAGTGCTGGGATTCTAGGCATGAGCCACCGCGCAGGGCTGGAGAGACGTTTCTGTTGAAGCCGCCTGGTTTGCGGTGCTTGGCTCCAGCAGCCTCAGGCCACACACAATATCCCAGGGCGGCACCCTCAATGCCAGGCCCTGCTGGGAAGTCAAGGGCCGAGGTGAACATGCCCTCTGCACGGTAGGGGATTCAGAGTGCCGCCCTGCACCTGGGCTGGGGGAGGAGCGCAGAGCACACCGGCAGACCAGGGAGGGGCCCTTCCAGGAATGCGCTTTGTAGACAGCTGGGTAGGGCTGGGGCGGACTAAGGGGCCTGCGGGGTCTGGCGGAACCATCCAGGTGAGGGCGTGGTGGCGGGAGAGCCAAGAACAGCAGCTAGGTGTACTGCTTACCTGAGAAGGGGGGGTGGCCGCGAAGGGGGTTGGAGGCGTTGGGATGGGGGCCTAGTCAGACGCAGGTGGCCGCTGCCATTTGGCATTGCCCGGTCTGGAGGACAGGGAGAAAACCTGGCTGGAGACACAGCTGGTCACTGACTGCCTGAGTCCCTGGGGCCGCGGTGTGGGCGACCTTCCTGCGGGACCCGCAAGCCCAGAGCAGGTGCAGGTTGTGGGTACAGCTGAGGCAGCCGAAGGACCAAGGGGAGGGCCTTAGAAGGAGGGTGGGCTGGGGGCGCGGGGTGGAGACAGGGCTGTGCCTTCCTCCCAGCAGGTGGGTTCCCGACGGGTGGGCGTGCGTGCAGGGCCCCCGGCCCGAGAACCGGCCCCAGCCTCGGCGGGCGCGGGCAGCAGATGGCGCTGCCGGGCTGCGCTCCGCCTCGGGTTCGGGGAGCGCCGGGTGGGGGTGGCGGGCGAGCCCAAGTCGAAGCCCGAGGCGGGAGAAGAGCTCATACTACGTTCCCCGGGCCGGACAGGCGGGCTCCGGAGGGGCGCTCGCCCCGCCCATGCGGGACAGGTGTTTGCCCACCTAGGCCCCGGACCCGGAGCCGCGCTGCCCACGTGCTCGGAGCGGAGCAGCTGCTCCCCGCGCCCGCCCTCCACGCCAGCAGTGCCTGGGGACCCGGACCCGCGAGGGGCGCGCAGGACGCGGGAGCCGAGGAGCAGCGGCGCTTTGCGGATGGAGAGCGCCGCGGAGGGCAGTCTGGGAGTGGGCGCGGCCCCGCCGGGCGTGAGGTCATCGCGAGCAGCTGGCGCACCCCCCGCGCCTGCCTCCCGGTCCTCGGAGCCCCCGGCTGCGCCCCGCGGCGCGCGCAGGTTGGGCAGGTTCTGGGCTCTGGGCGGCGGGGCGTGGAGGAGCCCTGGGGCGGGATTGTGACTGGGCGCTTCCTGCGGGGTTGGCGGCCCGGACGCCGGTGCCACCCGAGCCACCCAGCGATGCTCTGGGCCCCCTACGTCGGGGCTGACCTCACCGCCCATCCTGGCGGACCCCGCCCGCTCTAATGGGACCGCGCCCACCCTACACTGGCCTGCAGCCGCCGTCCTCCCGGCTGCGGGTTCCTTGCCCTCAGGGAGGGCGGGGCCGCCACCAGCTGCCCGGAGAGGTGGGGGGACCCAAACCTCCCCTCGCCCACACCAACCCCGTCCTACTGCCCTCAATCCTGCCCCTCCTGGAGTTTCTTGTTACGGTCCACACAGGCGAAGGGCCCCATCGGCCGCGCCTTGCCAGCCCTAATGCCCTCCGAGAGGCGGAGGCCCCACAGTAGGAACCCGGACTGAAGTCACTCCCTGGCGCTGCTAGGGGCTCAGGGTGGAGGGCTCAAGGGTGTCCGGGAAGGGCCTTCGCCCTTCAGCCTCAAAGCCCCCCCAGTCCTCTGGTTTTCTGTTCCTCTTTTGGGCCCCCAGCTTGTGAGCGCCCGCTGGGTAGGTGGGCAAGAGGTGACCGAGCAGAACCAGGCACCGGGACCGTCCGGTTTGGGTCTGGCTTCCACACTGGCTGCAGTGCGCCCTGCCCCAGGCCGGCAAAGTCTCTGAGCCCCATTCCTGCCGCTGGCCGAAGGATTGGGTTGGGCGAGGAAGATATGGAAACTGCCCCACAAGCCCCCCTCCCACCCCCAGGACGCCGCCCCCACCGGCTAGGCTCTGGGCAGGCCTAGTGTCCACTGATCTCGCCAATCGGCCCTGTGTTCCAGGGCTGTCGGGGGTCTCCTGGGCCAGGGGCTTGACGGAGGGAGTGGGGTGGGGAGGGTGGAGAGGCACCGGAATCTCTTTCTGCTTGGGAGTGGGGGCGGGCGGATATCAGGAGGGGCCACTGCCCCGCAGATGACCCAGAGCCGAAGACCGCGGGCTGTGGCCAGCGCAGGCTCCACGCGCCCCGACCCTCGCGGCAGGGAGGCCCCGCCCACTGTTGGGCAGGTTCTTGACTTCACCCTGCTTCCCCAAACGTTTCCGGGTGCAAACGCCCCTCTGGGCTGGGGTGGGATGAGGGAGGGGAGCCCTAGAATGGAGTTTTGTTTTCCTCCTCTGGCATCAGGTGCTCAAGCCCAAGCTCCTCCCTCCACCCGCCTCTGGCCCTTCCCTGGCTTCTATTTCCAGCTCTCCTTGGCTATTTATAGCTGCGACCGGCCGGCAATTGCGTCAGTCAGGGGCAGGCTTCGGCCGGCGATGCCAACGGTGCCACCAGTCCCCCTACATTCCCCTACCCTTCCTGGGTAGTCACCTGCCCTGCGCTGTCCTGGTCGGAGGCCCCAGGTGTGTGGGGGGCGGGAGTGCGTTCTGCAGGTGCGCTCAGCCATGAGGGCGCATGTGCTGGGGCAGAGTGGGAGGGCACTGGACTTGGTGGGGGGGGGGGGCAGCAGAATTCCTGGCGGGGAAGGGGTAAGCGGCGTCTTCCCCTTTCCTTCCCAGAGCTTCCTCCTGGGAGCTGCCTGGGGACAGGCCACTGTTCCTTGGTTTCATGGGTGGTGTCTGCAAAGACTGGGAGAGATGCCCCTGGACCTAGCACCCGTCCCCCTCCCCCCGCCCACCTTCCAGAATGAAGGCCCTTCACTGAGTTCCTCTCCTCTCACCCCACTACTGAGGCCTCCCTCTCCCCAGCATTCTCACTCAACTCCAGTTCAGCTCCCATACCCCTTCCCTCCCTGAGGCCACCCCCAACCCAGCCCCTCTGGAGGGGGACATTGAAGGGTTCTGAAGCAAGACAAGTCTACCTGCTCAGTTTGGAAGGACTGAAGGGCATCCACCCAGGCACTTGCCTAGTGTTTGGCAAAGGCCTGCCCTGGCATCGCCCTGCTTGGGGGTGGGAGGCACACGCATGTTCCCCTCGCCCCACCAGGATCCCCTCTGAGCTCTGGTCCCCACAGTCAGGGACCACTCGCTTCACAAACAAGCCATCATCACGCCTTCAGGGCCTAGTGTCTTCCACAGAGGCTCCTACCCCAGGAGACCCATTCCCAGGGGCAGGAGTGGGGCCTGGGACTGTGGGCTGCCTTACAGGTCTAGACCCTCACCCCTGGGCCAGAAGGCTGTGCTTTCTCTGGAGGGACTGTGCCGCCGAGCCCCAGCTGCCTGCAGGGATAATTGAGTTTCCCCACGTGCTCCCACCATGGACACAAGGCATTTGTTGTGAAGCTCTGCTGAGAATCAGCCCCTCCTCTCCCACCCTCTGTCCAGGGCCCGCCCTGCCCTGTGCCCTGCGCCCTTCCGGGGAGGTTGGGGCACCCTCTGCTGGTGTCCATTGTATAGGCCCCTCAAAGACTCCATGGCTTCCCCTTAACAGCAAGTCCTCCCTTCATCTTGCCCACAAAGAACCACTCTTCTTAGACACTCCCCCAACCCACCTGCCATTCAGAGCCCCATCGAGATGCACCCTCTTCCCGTCGGGCCTTGCCTTGGCCAGAGGCCTTCAGCTTCTGCCTGGCTCCCCGCAGGGCGCTCCTACCTCTGCCTTTTCTCCCATGCTGTGGACCTTTGCAATGTCCTCCTGCCCCACCTGCCCCCAGCCCCTCCAAACACAACCTGGCCTTCAGAGGCCAAAACTCTCCTCCTGAAAGGCTTCCTGAGAACTGGCCCTCTGCCCTTTCTCCTGCTCAGTCTCTTCAGTTCTGAGCTCCGGAAGGGCCTTGGTAAGTCCATCCACAGGAGTACAGTGGCAGCTGGCAGGGGTGCCACTGAGACCAGCCTCCAGCTTACTTCCAGGGATGGCTCGGCAGGCAGAGGAATGGTGCCTGAGAGACCAGGAACCAAGCCCAGCCCCAACTTGGCCCCTGACCCTCTAAGGGACATTGACCAAGCCTGTTCCTCTCCCTGGGCCTTGGAGAGGGTCTCTCCTGTGATGTCCCACTCCAAGACAGTTAGTATGTGGCTTATTCATTGGACATTCACTGGGTACCTTCTGTATGCAAAGACCAGGTACCCATCTGCAGTCCAATGGAGAATGGAGGTAAGCACAAGCTGGCTTTAATGTAAGACTAACAGAAGTGCAACTAACGCAATGTAACATTATTACCCACCCACCTTCGCTCCCTCCCTCCCTCTCATTTACCCATTCTTCCACCTCCTATCCACCCCATCACTTCTCCACCCGTCCATCCATCTGTCCACCTTCCTTTCCTTCTACTCCCTAGCCACACATCTACTTGCCTATTTATGAATACCCATTTATGTATTCATCCATCCATCCATCCTATTCATTCCTCCACCCATTCATCCATGTACCCACCCACCCCACTCATCCCTCTACCCATTCATCCATCTGCCCATCCATCCATCCACCCACCCACCCCACTCATCCCTCTACCCATTCATCCATTTGCTCATCCATCCATCCATCCACCCACCCATCCACCCCACTCATCCCTCTACCCATTCATCCATCTGCCCACGTATCCATCCATCCACCCACCCACCCCACTCATCCCTCTACCCATTCATCCATCTGCCCATCCATCCATCCATCCATCCACCCACCCCACTCATCCCTCTACCCATTCATCCATCTGCCCATCCATCCATCCACCCACCCACCCCACTCATCCCTCTACCCATTCATCCATTTGCTCATCCATCCATCCATCCACCCACCCATCCACCCCACTCATCCCTCTACCCATTCATCCATCTGCCCATCCATCCATCCATCCACCCACCCACCCCACTCATCCCTCTACCCATTCATCCATCTGCCCATCCATCCATCCATCCATCCACCCACCCATCCACCCCACTCATCCATCTACCCATTCATCCATCTGCCCATCCATCCATCCATCCACCCACCCATCCACCCCACTCATCCCTCTACCCATTCATCCATCTGCCCATCCATCCATCCATCCATCCACCCACCCCATTCATCCCTCTACCCATTCATCCATCTGCCCATCCATCCATCCACCCACCCGCCCACCCCACTCATCCCTCTACCCATTCATTCATCTGCCCATCCATCCATCCATCCACCCACCCACCCCACTCATCCCTCTACCCATTCGTCCATCTGCCCATCCATCCATCCATCCACCCACCCATCCACCCCACTCATCCCTCTACCCATTCATCATCTGCCTATCCATCCATCCAACCACCCACCCCACTCATCCCTCTACCCATTCATCCATTTGCTCATCCATCCATCCACCCACCCACCCCACTCATCCCTCTACCCATTCATCCATCTGCCCATCCATCCATCCACCCACCCACCCCACTCATCCCTCTACCCATTCATCCATCTGCCCATCCATCCATCCATCCACCCACCCATCCACCCCACTCATCCCTCTACCCATTCATCCATCTGCCCATCCATCCATCCATCCACCCACCCCATTCATCCCTCTACCCATTCATCCATCTGCCCATCCATCCATCCGTCCACCCACCTGCCCACCCCACTCATCCCTCTACCCATTCATTCATCTGCCCATCCATCCATCCATCCACCCACCCACCCCACTCATCCCTCTACCCATTCATCCATCTGCCCATCCATCCATCCACCCGCCCACCCCACTCATCCCTCTACCCATTCATCCATTTGCCCATCCATCCATCCATCCATCCATCCACCCCACTCATCCCTCTCCACCCATTCATCCATCTGCCCCTCTATCCATCCATCCACCCATCCCATTTATCCCTCCACCTATTGATCCATCCACCCATCCACCCCACTCATCCCTCTACCCATTCATCCATCTGCCCACCCATCCACCCATTCATTGATCCATCCATCCATCCATCTACCCACCCACCCACCCCACGCATCCCTCTACCCATTCATCCATCTGCCCTTCTACCCACCCATCCATGCACCCATCCATCCATCCACCATTCATCCATCTGCCCATCCATAAATTCACCTATCCATCCATCCATGTCTCCCTCCCTCATCCACCCATCTACCCACCCATCCAAGACCCATCCAGCAACTAAAGCTCTTGTCCTGGGGGGAGACACAGCTGTAGGCAGGGCAACAAGCCTTTAGGGGACTCTACGTAGCAGTTGGAGGCCAGTCCACCAGTGTTCAACTCTTGCTTCACCGCCTACTTTGGGCAGCTCTTGGACCACTAGGAGCCTGATTGAGTTGGTAAATGAGACCCCCTCCTTCCATCTGGAGTCTTACACTGCCCCCAGGGTCCTGAGACCTATGTGCCCCAGATGGGCATCCTAGGAGAGGCCGTCACCCACCTGCTGGAGCTGCAGGTGCTCCTGCGCACAGGGGGTAAGGGAGCACCTCGGTGCTGCTTGAGTCAGCCATCAGCTCTTTCCAGGCCTCAGTTTTATTGACTGCTGGGGGCTGCCTGAGTTATAAATAGATGTTCTTGAGCCAAAAATAGCCTTGCGGGAGCATCAGACTATGTTTCTAGCTTTCCTCCTTTTTGAGGACTCTTAAAGATGCAGGATTCAAGGACCCTACCTCCTCCTGCAGCCCCCGAGGAGGGACTGGCCCCCTCCTCTTCCCCTCTCTTGCTTCCTCTTCCTCCTGTCTCATGAGCACTCACACACACGGTCTGGACAGCATCACTGGTTGGGAGGGGTCCCTGGGAGAGGTATACTAAACCTGGAAGAAGCTGCATGAACCAGGTCTGTGTGGTAAGGACAGATCTGGTATCCTCCGCCACAGTGTAGACAAGCCTCAGCCCGGGCTGCACGCACACTGTGAATCTTTGCAGCCTGTGGCACCTGCAGCAGCCAGGTCTGCCCTCGGTGGGGGGTGGGGGGGGGGGAGGCGGGGCTCTGCAGGCCGGGCTGGGGCTGCCTCCAGGGAGAGGACCCTGGAGGCTGGGGACAAGCCTGGGGGAGACAAACCAGTACTTTCTACCACATACCCTGGTGTGCTTTTAATCCTTGTATGACATGCACATTACTTAAGATTTGAAAAGCTGGTTGGAGGCCAGGCACGGTGGCTCACACCTGTAATCCCAGCACTTTGGGAGGCCAAAGCAAGCGGATCACTTGAGGTCAGTGAGATTGAGACCAGCCTGGCCAACATGGTGCAACCCCATCTCTACTAAAAATACAAAAATTAGCCAAGTGTGATGGCACGTGCCTGTAATCCCAGCTACTTGGGAATCTGAGGCATGAGAATTGTTTGAACCGGGGAGGCGGAGGTTGCAGTGAGCGGAGATCGCACCATTGCACTCCAGCCTAGATGACAGAACGAAACTCCATTTCAAAAAAAAAAAAAAAAAAAGTCTGGTTGGAGACACTATATATAGCTAGACCCCTATTTCTGCTGGTACGTATATGCACCCACACACATGCACACAGCACACAGCACACATGGAGGGGCTGGGAGGGAAGCATCCAACTGTTCACATTGGGATTGTGGGAGTGAGGGGACTGGTGGGTAACACTGAGGTTTTATATCGTTTTAAGTTATTTAAGCTTTTACTAGCCTGTAACAACTGAAAAAGTGTGTTTTACACCCTAAAGGTGCAGCTGAGGACCTGTGCCCATGCCTGGCCCCCAGGGACTATTCTCAGAGCTCACCCGCGGTGTGAGCCTGGGGCAAGTTTCCAGACCCAACACACCAGGCTCTGGCCTCAGGCCTGCCTCCCAGCAGCCTCTGCCCCCACCCTGCCCACCACCAGTCTGAAGGAAGAGGCGCGGAGTCGTGGGGAAAACATCCACTTTAAGCTTTATTACAACACATTGTCTCCAAATACAAAGGGAGGGGCCGGGAGCAGAAGGTGCGGCTGTGGCGGGAGGGGCTCCAAGGGGGGCTGAAGGGCCGGCAGCCCAGTCTACAGAGACTGGAGGCTCAGCGGGGGACCTGCACCCTCTCCTCCGCTGGACTTCCCAGCAAATAACAGGAGGGGCCGGGTCCATTTTGGGGCGATCCCAATGCCAGGCAGTGGCCAGGTGGGAGGGGCCGGAGAGAGGCTTGGAGAGGACTCAGGGCTGGGTCAGGTGAAAGCCACCAGGTGGGGCCCTGGCCCGCCTCCCGCAGCACTGGAGGAGGCAGTGGCCAGGTGGGAGGGGCCGGAGAGAGGCTTGGAGAGGACTCAGGGCTGGGTCAGGTGAAAGCCACCAGGTGGGGCCTCAGCCCGCCTCCTGCAGCACTGGAGGAGGCAGTGGCCAACACAGGACCTTCGCCCCCCTGCTGGCTGCTCACTTTGCGGTAACCAGTGCCTCAAGAGTGGGAGCAGAGACAGACTGAGACAGACAGCCCCCCTCAACGGCCTGCAGAAGGGACAAGGGGAAGGGGGAAGGGAGAAGGGGGCCCAACCAGTGGCCCCAGACCACTGTCTCCCGGACAGCACAGGGGTGGGGGGCGAGAAGCGGGAAGCCAGTGCATCCTCCTCACCCAGGGTCTCCTCAGAAACCCAACGCAACAGACATATGGGAGGCAAATTTACATAATTAATAATAATTAACCAATAATAATAAATACTTAAACCTCTAATCCATAGATTGCAAATACAACGATAGCTTATTTTCTTGGGGGAACAGGAGTGGGTGGGGACAGAGGGAACGGGAACAGGACTTTTGCTGAAAGGAGGGATGACAGGAACACAGAGCTGTGGGTGAAAAGAAGAACAAATAGAAGAAACAGCAGAGAGGGCGGCTGGCTGGGGCGGGATGGGCGCCTCCCTGGCCCTGCTCCAGGACTCAGGACTGGGTCCTGCCCTGGGCTGCCTCTCCGGCCAAGCCCCTGGCCTCTTCCCACAGTGACTGGCCCCACTCCTAGACCCTAGGACATCTGAAGGGCAGGGGTCCCAATGGCCCGAGGGGGTATGGGGCAGGGGCAGCAGGCTGACCCACCTGGGCCCAAAAGCCACTTGTGTTTGGGGGCTGGCATGCCACCTAGAGAGAGAGCACCCTGGGAAAGGGGTGAATGGGAGTTTCTCTCCTGAGCGGCCCCATGGGGGTGGGGGCAAACGAGGGGGCTTTACCTGTCTTGAGGCAGTGCTCCCTAAGTGAAGCAGGCCTATCCCAGCAGCACAGGGGCTTGGCTGGCGCCTGAACTCCCTGTGTGAGCAGCACCTGCTCACAGAGCCCCTCAGCCTGCAGGTGCACACCTGAATTCCAAGTTCTGCCTGGGGCATGGCTGGGAGGGGGGCGGGGCAGACCTGGAACAGAACCCTAAGACCACCCCCTCCTCATACCTGGGGGTCCAGGGCTTCCTGCCCAGTGGAGCCAGCACTGGCTAGCCAGGCGCCTCCTGCCTGACCCCCGGAGGCCAAGCTCCTCTCCTGCAATGGTGCCACCCTGCCCGGCAGGCAGCTCTGGGGGCATGGGCAAGGGAGAAGGGAGGGCCGCAGCCCTCTAGGAATGGCCTTTCTGAGCCACTCTGTGGCTGGACTGGGGCTCTGGCAGGAGTTGGGGGCACTAACACCTCTGTCCTCCCCTGGGCTGCACCTCATCTGACGTTCCAGAACCCCCTGCCCGAAGCCCCTACACACACTGTTCTATTTCTCAGCCCCTCTGAACACCCTGGCACCATGAAGCCCAATGCCTGTCCTCCCCTGCCAGAGAACAGCTCTGGGGCAACGGGCAGCGGGGTGCCCTCCTTGCCACCAAGATTTGGTGCCTGGAGCTGATGGAGGGCTGGCCGCACCTCTCCGGGGCACACCAGCTCCTGCTCCTCCATCCTATGGCTTTGGTGCAGAGCCCTAGGCCGGCGCAGAGAAGGGAGGGAGCAGGGGAGGTGGGTGGGGGGAGAAGGGGGGTTCTGCGGCTCAGTTTGTGGCAAAGAAGTTTTTTTTTCCTTTTTTTCACCTTTTTGTTATGTAAAAAGTGCACGAAAGCTCGGCAGCCTTTGCAAAGGTCAGCAGTGTTTCCTGGGGCGGGGGAACTGGGAGGGGCCCCAGGCCTGGCACCCAGCTTGCGACTGAAGGTGGCCTCGTATTGCTTAGAAACGTATGTTTCAGTTTAAATACCAGACAGTAAAAATAGAGCTCGAGGACCACCCGCACTGTTGCCAAATCATTGCCAGAATGAACAGCTTAAATAAATAAAAAATCGAAATATTTACTTCTCGATAAAAATCCCAGTAAAACCATTTACCTTTCTTTGCATTATATATAATATACATTTATAACGGGCCTGGCTGCGGGCGGCGGGGCCGAGGGCAGCGGAGGGGTCAGGACACCTCGATGACCTCCACGCTGCCCGAGAAGCTCGCCTGCTTGCCCAGGGCGGCCAGCTCCTCGCCGCGCGCGCGCCCCTCCACCATGCCCTCCTCGAACTCCATCTGGCAGCTGCGGCGCTTGAACTGCGTCTCCGGGGCCGGCTCCTCGGGCCAGCCGGTCCGCGCGTCCCGGGGCTCAGCCCTCGCTGCCTCCCGCCGCCGCAGGTCGCTGCCGCCGCCTGGTCCCGGGGCGCCCGCCCGGCCGAAGGGCGCAAACAGCACCCCGCCCGCCCCCTGTGCGCCCTCGGGGCTGAAGCACCAGGGCCCGTCGGGCGACGGCGTGCCTGGGGAGTCGAGCGGCGGTGCCCAGGCCCCGGGGCCGGCCGGCTGGCCAGGGCCGGGCAGCCCGGGCGCCGACAGGGCCGAGAGGCCGTGCCGCGGAGTCTGCCGGGCCGCATCGCCGAAGTTCAGGCCGAGGCTGTGCGCGGGGGAGCGCGCGGGGGAGCCGGCGGGGGGCCGGGGCCGCCGGCGGGGCCGTGGGCGCGCCTCAGGCGCGGCGTCCGGGCTGTCCGGGCTGGGCGAGGACAGGCCCAGCGCGGCCCCCGACGGGCTGTCCAGCTTGCAGAGCTTCGGGGCCTCGCCGGGGTCGGGGGGCCCGGGGCCGTCGGGCCGCCTGCTAGGGGCGTAGGCAGACTTGATGTCCAGGGAGAAGGAGCGCTTGAGGCGGTTAGTGTCCTGCAGGCGGTCCGAGGAGAGGTGCAGGCCGCGCAGGCCCTGCTGCAGTGCGCTGGTCGCCGGGGGCGTGGGGGGCGCGGGGGGCTCCCCGCCCGCGCTCAGGCCGCCCTCCCTGGCAGCCGCATTCCCTGTGGCAGCGCTCTCTGAGGTAGGTGGTGGCAGCCGTGGCAGCGGGGCCCCGGCGGCAGGACTGGGCGGAGGCTCCGGCGTCCCTGAGGGGGTGCCCGGGTCGCCCTGCAGGGCGGCCAGCAGCTTCAGGCTGCGCTCGTACTCCAGCAGCTGGCCCAGGAAGTTGAAGTTGGGCGAGATGGACGGGCGCCTGTCCTTCACGAACCTGCGGGGGAGGAGGCTCAGTCCCAGGCGCCCGCCGGGGCCAGGCTGCCCACCTGACGCACCCGCTGGGCACCCACGAGCTCATGTGCGCCAGGCTGGTCTCAGGCCCTCCTCCCTTGCCACGGGTCCTGGACGGTGGGGTCATTCTGGTGCAAGTGGGCAGCCGGGGGAAGGGAAGCGACGCTGTGAGCCACAAGTGCGCGACTGGGGAAGGTGGTACCTGTAGGCGTCGTCGGAGGACATGCCCATGGTCTTCATGATGTAGGCGATGGCGATGGTGGCAGAGCGGGAGATGCCAGCCAGACAGTGGACGATGACTTGGCAGCTGGAGAGCTTGGCTTTATCTGGGCAGGTGGGCCATGGGGGCCAGGTGAGGGCTAAGACTGCACAGCTTCTCCCTGGCCCAGGTAGGGGACCCCACCCGCCCAACTGCCAACAGTTCCGGCTACTTCCTGGGGACCCCTCCTGTGTCTGTGGCCACACACAGCTCTAGCCTTCCTCTAGCCAGGTCCCTGCCCTCCGCCCACCGCAGACTCACCGATGAACTCGATGGACTTGTCCAGCCAGGGCAGCAGTTTTTCACAGTAGTTGTCGTTGATGGGGACCCGCATGAAGCGGCTCTCGCAGATGAAGTCAGGCTTGGGGCAGGAGTTGCTGGCGTTGAGGACGTAGCTTATTCCATTTTGCGTCATCAGATCCTGGAGGGGCGGGAGGGCGGGTTGGAAAGGGGTGGGAGAAGCTCGGGGCGGGAGTGAAGGTGGAGGCTTTTCCTGCCCTGCCGTCAGGAGGGCCTTTAGAATCCTGGGAGCCTTGGAATTTGTCCCAGATCCCAGTGTATCCAGGGGAGGGCCCAGGAGGCCTCTCTGGTCCACCCTGGCACCCTGGGCCCGTGCGGGGGGTGGGGCACGGCTGGCCTCCGACTGCAGGCCCCACCCACGGCTGGTGGTGGGCTCCTAGGAATTTTATGATTGCCTGGGTGGTGGCTTTTACCCTTTTCCCTCGTCACCATTTTTAAAACATGGGATTCTTTCAGAGCTGGCCAGAGGCCCAGTGACATCCGCAGCTTGGCATGCCAGCTCCCCGCTCCTCCCCCGAGCCCTGCCGGGCCCTCCCGCAAGCCCTGCTGTGGTCCTTCCAGGGGCATGGGTGGGGAGCCTGGGGTCCTCCTGGGCCCCCACCCATGCTTCTCCCACACCCAGCTCATCCACTGCCTTCAGCTCCTTTCCTCCCTCATCCCCCGCTCCGCTGCCAAGCTGCTTCTGGAGCTCCTGCCCCTTTCCCATTGACCACCCCCCGAACTCCACTGCACACACACCTTGTTTAGGACGTCCTTCTGCGAGCCCAGGTAGAGGTGAGGCAGGATGCGGGTCAGGCCCACGCTGGGCACAGGCAGGCAGGGCTGGGAGAGGCTCATGGGTAGCAGGGCAGCAGGCTTGCCCTCGCAGAGGCCGGGGAAGCAGGAGGAGAAGGTGGCGAAGCCCCCTGTAGGAGGAGGGCCGTCAAGTGGGTTGAGAGAACACCTAGGGCTCCCTGTCCGCCTAGGGTGCCCTGTCCGCCTAGGGCACCCCATCTACTGCTGAGGATCAGTCACACCCAGCCCAGACCCGAGCCTGAGCCCAGCCGGCAAGCCTCTGGCGGAGCACCTGCTCTGCCCGCGGTGGGGGGAGGGGGTACTGCCACACATTTACAGCCTGCACCTACGCCCACATTCCTCCTCATGCTAATTAGGGGCTGACCCAGCTGAGGACGCCGCTAGGATGCCCGTAAAGGTGGCGTTGAGGTGGCTGGCCATCACGGCACGCGCTGGGCCCAGGCAGGGGTGGGCTCAGAGGCCACAGGGGTCTCCTGCTGAGGGTGTGTGTCACACAGCCCAGAGGAGAGGCCCTCACGAGCCCGGCCATCTCCCATACCCATGGCCTGGGGCCAGGCTGGGCCTTCCTCCTCCCCTGCACTGATGCAATGCCTCCCTGCCTCCAGCTGGCTGGGAGCCCCAGGCCTGGGCTTGGGTGCCAGGACCAGGAGGCCAGGGCTTCCGAGAGGCCCTCCCCGTCCCCAGGCATGACATCACCCTGGCACAGCCCTCGGGGCATTTGCTGTCTGGTTATGGCTGTACTCCACCCAGCAGGGGAGGACGGAGAGTGGAGAAGCCCGGGGCACTGGGGGCACGCAGAGCAGGCAGTGGGCACCCGCTGCACACGTGACCAGCGTGTGCTGCTGCCTTCCACACACGTCCAAGTCCGAGGCCACAGGCTGGTGGGAGGAAGTCCCCTGCCCTGCACCAGCTGGAAGGACCCGAACGTGAATCCCTGGATGTCTGACTCAGTGACCATGGGTAGTGCACACCATGGCTCTGGTCTCAGCTTCCTCCTCCTGCCTGCCACACAGCATCATGTGGTTCCAAGAAGATAATGAGCACGAAGACACATGGTGAGAATGGACCTGGCCGTCCCTGACCTGGCTGGGGCGACCACCGATGTGGACCAGAAACTGGGCAGCACCCACCTGGTGGCTGCCAGCTCTTGGGAGGGTGAAGCCAGCATGGCCCAGCACCACCCCGAGGACACCTTCCAGAACATAAGCCCCCATGGCAAGCCGGCTCCTGCTTGTGCAGAGCCTGAGGCAGCTGGGCTGAGGCCTGCCCTATCCCATTGGACGGGGCAGGGGAGTGACGGCGGGAGCTCAGGGCCTGGGAACCCCAGGGCTCTTTTTTGTCCTGGTTTGCAGAAGAGGCTGGTGCCACATGTGTAGCAGGTGCCCACTGCCTGCCCCGCGTGCCCCCAGTGCCTAGGGCTCCTCCTCTCTCCATTCTCCCCTGCTGGGTGGAGTAGAGCCACCCTGGATAACTCCTGAGGACAGGGGAGTGTGTGCAAACCCCCAACCAGAACACCTGCTGTGCCAGCTCCCCGTGTCCCTAAAAAGGGCGTGACGCTGGGGGACTGTGGAGATAGGGGAAGCTCCAGGCTGGGTGGGTTGAGGCAGCAGCCTTGGAGGAACAGTCTCTTCTGTGGGAACCTGCTGACTGGACAGGGGAAAGCAGGTAGGTGACTTGTCACCAACGACGCCCCAGCTTGCAGGTTCCCCTGAGCAGAGGCTGGGATGGGCACTGTAGCTGGCTTCCACTCACTGTTCTGAGCTGGGGTAGCCCTGGATGTTCCCGCTGCAGGACAGCCCCGGGGAGGCGGAAGGGCTGCACCACTTCTCTGCAGACTCTTCTGCCACCTGCTGCCTCTCCTCCTCCCTGTGGCTCTCCCAGGGATTTTGTGCCTTACTCTCTGCTTTCTCCAGGGCCTGGCCAAAGGAGGAGGTGCTGGGGATTCCATCAGTACCCTCCCACCTCTCCCAGAGGAGGTAAAGGCAGGAAAGTCTCTGGACAGGTGCAGAGAACCGACAGCTATGTCAGCAATTCCCCAGGAAGCTTCCCAGGACCTCCCCAGGCGGAGCAGGTAGTGTGGATGTCCCTACACACCCCACTGTGGATGCCAGGCCTAGCAGGGACCGAGGCTCCAGGGATTTCAGAACCACCCAGGCTCTGGGGGTGAGTGATAAGTGAGGGGTGTTGGGGTTCAGTGGACCCTTTGTAGGTCCCAGCACTCTTTGGGCCCTGGGGAGGCACCCCTACCCCCAGGCATCTCCAAAGGCGCCTTCCCAGTATCCCTGCTCCCTGACTCGGGGGTTTCTGGGGCAGCGCCTGCAGTTCACCTGTTACTCACAGTGAAATCCCAGACTTGAAAAAAGGCGTGTGTACCAGGACATGTGCCTGCCCCATGCCACCTGGGAGACCCTGCAAGCGCTTATGGCCACAGTCACAGACGCACTTCTGCCCGCCACCTCCATGACCCCTGGACTCCCCGCCAGGGCGGGGGCCGCCACCCCACCCACTTGCAGTGCAGTCGCCCGGCCAAGGGTCCAAGGCCGACTGCGGGCCGCTGCTTAAAGGGCCAGGCCCCTCTCTCATCCCTTGCCGCTTGCCCCCCAACATCGTGAGCAGCGCAGCTGGAGTGGGGGAAGAGGAGCGGCAGGGGGAGGTGGGCTTCACAGCAGTCCTGGGACCCCAGCACAGCCTGTCCTGCCACTGTTTCTCTCCCGCTTCCCGCAAACCTGCCCTGCTGTGGGGAGGACAGAGGCTTGGTCCTCACATTCCGGCCTCTACTGTCCCTGCAAATGGACCAAGGAGCTGTGTTGCCTGTGCCGCGGGATCCTGGAACATCCCTTCTCCTGGGTGAGGGGCAGCACCCCTGCCCCCCCCAATATATTCTTTCCCACTCTCCCTGGTTCTTCGCAGAGCCAGCCCAGAGCAGGGGCTGTGCCCACCACAGGGTGGGAGGGAGCCTGAGGGCAGAGCCCGTGGGCCTGCCTGGGTGTCGCCATGAGCCCACTGTATACCACGGGGCCTGGGACTCCTTGGCAGCTGCACTTCTGGAGAAAAGGGGACACAGCCTCAACCTTGCAGGGCAGATGTCAGCACAGAAAGGCAGTTCTGAGGGTGGCATGACCAGGCCCTGGGAGTGCCCTCCTGGCAAATCCTAGCACAGGCCCGGCCCCTCCCATGCCCATACTCATCCACGCCCACCTGCACACCCATGCTGTCCCACCCACCAGTGCTGGGTGAGGGCCCCAGCCCCCCAAACCGTCCCACTCTGGCCTCGAGGGAGACAGGCCCTTCCAGGCTTGGGACTTTCCTGGGATCTGCCTGCAGGTAGGGAGGTGCCACTCTGGGACCTTTCTCAGCCTCCAAGAAGAGTCTCCTGACTCCCATTCCTGGCTAGGGCAGCAAACTGGCCTTTGGGAGGGGTCCTGTTACACCTGGTGAGCTGTAAAAAGCCCCAAACTACTCTCTCCCCGCCCCCCACCAGTTCAGTCCTCAAACTGGACCTAGGGGAACAGGGTTGGATCAGAGTGCGTCATTCTGTGGCTTCTGGTTCTGAGAGTTCACACATATGCACACAAATCCCAAATCTCACCCAGACAAGCACAGGCGGGTACATACACAAATATACCTCCATGTATATACATGCATATACACGTGCACACACGTACATGCACATATGCGCACACACAGGCATGCATATGCCCATACATGCACACATGTACATGCACACACATACATGCATGCACATGCACACACACACATACATGCACACACATGCTCACGTACACACTCGCAGAGGCAGATGCTGGTCACCAGACGCCCAGAGCCATGCACAGACGCACAGACACCCTCTGACCATGGCCACCCAGCAGTGCAGGGTGCTGGTCTCACCCACAGAGAGGTGGGGAGGGAGCCTGGCCTCAATGCTCTTGCCCAGGACACTGGACCACCCTCAAGCCTCCCAGGTGCCCTTTAGGTCCCAGGACATGCCATGTCGGGAGGTCGGCCTGGCCAAAGCGGCTGCCACCCCTTCATCCCCCACAGTCGCCCTCAGGCTGGGTGAAGGTCCCTGCTTCCACTGGATGCAGGGCCAAGGGCCTGGCTTGGCTGCCTACTCCTCACCCCACCGTGCCTGCACCCCACAGTCCCCCATATCCTCTGCTTGCCTGGAACAGCCCCTGGTAGCAGAGGCCAGGCAGAAGGAGCCTGGACAAAGACCCCAGACCTGGATGGGGGAGGGTGCACATCCCTGGGACAGGCCAGCTCCGTCCGGCTCTGGGACCTGGGCCGACCCCAGGAGGTGGATTCTACAGACACGCCCTCAGCCACAGCCCAAGGAAAGAAAGAACCCTCTGGGACCACGAGTGTGTGAGTGTATATGAGTGTGTATCAGCGTGTGTAGGGGGGCGGCTTCCCTGCCTCCAGGGCTTGGGGCCAGTTGCCCAGGCTGCTTTTGGGCCACAGGGATCCCTGGGGGCTGTCTGCTGGGACCCAGGCAGCAGCCTTGGTGCCAGGCTGTTGCCAGGCAACCTGCACTCAGCTGGGCTTTCGGAGGTGGGGGGACTTCCTCGGGACCCCACGGCTCCAACTGAGTTTCCAGAGGATGGGGCCTCTGCCTCCGGCTTCTGACAGGAGCTCCGGGAGTGGGAGGGGCTCCCAGCCTGCATGCCTTGCCCTACACCTCTGGAGCCCAGCTGTACTGTGAGGTTTCCTTCTGTGTTGAGGATAGTCATATTGGTGGGTCCTGAAGTGTGGGCGTCCTGGGGAGAGGATGGTGGGGCCTCAAGAACCACAGATGTATGGAGATCCCCCCGTGCCCAGCGGACACCTCCCTGATGCCCCAGCCCCAGCCCCAGCCCCACTGCTGGCGGAGCAAGTGCCTCGGGGAGGCGTGGGTCATGGACTCACCAGTGAGGATGGCCACGCTGTCGAAGCAGCCGTCCAGCTTGCTCAGCAGGATGGAGAGGAAGCTGTCTGCGGCCAGCACGCTGGCGTCCCGCGTGCTCTGGTCATAGACCACCACGTCCTGTGGCTCCGTAGCCTCCACCTGGGGGCCATGGGGCAGAGATCAGCATGCCGCCTCCACCTATCGATGCCCTGGCCCCGTCCCAGATATGCTGGCTCAAGGGAATAGTAAGGGCATCAGATGATGGGAGGCAGGCAGCTGTCACCTTGCTGCCTGGAGGGGAGGGCAGGTGCAGTCACACACTCTCCTCCATCTGCCAGAGGCCCAGATGCACACACCCACACCACACAGCAAGCCATGGGGGCAGGGAGGGGTGGACTCCTGCCCTGCGCAGCTGTGCCCCCATGCCATGCACATGGGTGAAGGGGACGGACGCTCTGGGCCAGGCCTGTGTGGAGGAGACACAGGTGAGTGCGATGGGAGCCCAGGATAGGACCTGGCTGGCTCCCAGGGTGGCGGAGGGACAGAGAAGCTCGGCCCTGAAACGCATGCCTTCGGGTGTGGGCTCTCAGTGGGGCTAACTGTGTAGCCAGCAATTCTGCTCCCCACCCTATCCCCTCCCCAACCCCCAGCGGAGAAACAGAGGGCTGCAGCAGGACCCCAGGCCCCTGCACCAATTCCGGAGGCAGCAGCTGGAAGCTGGGTTCCTCCTGCCCTCCTCCCCCACCCCAAGGGCCAGCCCAGATGTTGAGCGGCTTTTGCTCAGACAGCACCGGTGCCCCCGCCCTGCAAGCACACACTCAGCCCTTAAGCCAGCTGAGCCGCCAACCCTGGGCTGGGTGACGTCACCGGCAGCCAATGGGATCGCACTCTGCCGGGAGTCCTTGCTGGGGGTCATTAATCACCAGATTCCCCTTGTTGGAAACCAAAGGGAGCCGATTCTGGCCTTGGGGTGGGCGGACTCCTGGCCAGTGGCCATCCCACTTGAGTCCTCCCATGTCCCAGCTCTGAACAGGGCCTATCAGTGACCCAGACCCCTCTCAAAGCCTCCAGGGCCAAGAGCTTGTCACCCTTGTCCCCTGCGAGGCAGTAGAAGGAGGAGGTGCCGCCACCTTCACAGGTCAACAGCCCCGCTGGTCCCTCCCCAGCTGCACCTGATGGTCCTGGGCAGAATGAGCTGTCCTTCCCCAGAAGGACATTCCTGGGGGGCCACAGAGAGAATTCTGGGTCCCTGAATACTCTGCGGGCTGGGGGAAGCTGTGGGACGGGGACATGGACTGCTCACGTGTGCCTTTTGACCACCCCTCCTGTCCTCACAGCAGTGGAAGTGGACCACACAGCTGTCCCTGTCCCGTGTAGGCCAGCTGGGCTGCTCCCACTGCCATGTGGTCACACCTTGCTATTCCACTCACTGCTCCCCTCTGTGAGCCTGGGTTGGCCCTGGCCACACAGTCCTATCTGCGTGGGGAGGGCCCGGCACCTCTGTGCAGAAGCTGAGCAAGGAGGCCCTGGAGGGAGGGTAGGGAAGGGTGCTGCGGGCGGGGGTGCGGGGGATGCCCTGAGCAGGGGCAACAGGCAGCGGTGAGAGGCAAGTGCCAGGGAGGACTGCTCCACACGCCCCTGGCTGTGACCCCAAGGAGTCGAGTTTGGACTGGAAGGCAGAGGAGGGGGGTGCTGCCCGAGCTGAGGGCCCCTTAGCTGTGGACCCTGGACGTGATGCATGCCTGGTGGGCAGTGGGCTGGGTACCTGGCTGCGTGCAGCCGGCTGGATGAGCTCCGCAATGGTCACCTTGCCCTGCTGCAGCCGCCGCTTCACCAGCTTGGAGCAGCAGATGTTGACGGAGCTGAGCACATGCCAGCTGTTGTACTCCACGAAGGAGCGGCTGTCGATGACCAGCGGCCCCCCAGGCCCGCCCCGCAGCAGGCTGGCCAGCTTCTTGGCATCCATCACCTTCCTCGGGAGCCGGTCCCCAGCCATGGTGGGGCAATGGGTGCTGGGGAGGGTGACCCCTGAAGTGAGGAGGGGCTGCTCCGACGGCCCAGGTGTGGCCTCGCGCTGGGAGTGACCTAGCACATGGTGCTGGACCTGCAGGGACAGGGGGATGGTCAGCAGTGCTGCGGGCCCCTGGGTGGCACCCAGAAGCTCCCCAGGACAGATCAGAGCTGGGAGCTGCGCCCACCAGGACACACCAACATGTGCCCGTGGGAACCCTTCTCCCTCTGGAGAGACCCCGTCCAGGTCACAAGGCCAGCTCTCAGCAGGATGCAACAAGGCAGAGGGGGGCAAATGGGCCCCACAGAGAAGGGTCTGAGGGCTGGAAGAGGCCAGGGGTCCTTCCTGTGGGCCCTGGGGTTCACGGACCCTTAGGCATTCCAGAACATTCCATCTCATCCCTGGGACACAGGCATCTCCCTGCTGTGACTTCTGCATCTTTTCCACCACAGGACCCCCAGCAAGTCGGGGTCTGGACTGCACCTCACCCTCCCACATGGTCAAGCTCTCTGCCCTCCTCCGGGCTTGCTGTCCTCACACCTGCCCCTCTCTCCCTAGCACAGCCCCAGGGAGTCCAATCCCTGGAGACTTGACTCCAGGGCAGCTCCGTAAGCCGATAATCCAGCCCCTGGTGGATGGTGGCCTTGGGGCTGCCTCCACTGGAGAGTGGGCTCCCGGGGGCAGCCGGATAGCAGGCGGGTGCGGGAGGGGCTCAGGCACAGAGGCACGGCTCCTTTGCCACTGCTGCCCTCCTGACCTGCAGGCTGAGGTTTAGTGTGCGCCACGTGCCTGCTGGGGGTGAGTGCCCAGCTCCTGCAGGGGCGTGTTGCACCCACACAGTGCCTCTCCCCTAGCGGAGCCTGGGGTCTAGGAGGCTCCTTCATGGGCTGATAGGGCCCAGGATGGGAGGGGCGGGGCAGCCCTGGGAGGAGGGTCAGTGTCGGGGACCCCGCAGGTGCCAGGCCCTCGGCATGGCCTGCAAAGGCCTCAGACTGCCGGGTGGGCAGGTGGAGTAGGGATGTCTGAGGATGGAGTCTCCGGAAGCCCCTCCTGCAGGCTTGATGACAAGCCTGTCACTGCCCCACTGCCGGGCCCCATCTCCCTGTCACCTGCCAGGACTGGCCTTCCTCTGGGTCCACTTTACACTCACAGCCCCTAGGAGGCGCATAGTGTTAAGGATGATGAGTTTGCTTTAACTATGGGGAAACCGAGGCTTGGGGCAGGGTTGGGACCTGGGTCACACCTGGGTCACACACAGATGGGCACTGGGTGTCCCTGCAATGCCATCTTCCCTGTGCCCCCACAGCTGCCAGGCAGTCAGGAAGTTTACTCCACCCAGCTCAGGACTGAGGGAAGGCTGGGAGATAGATGTACCCTGGGCCCTGCGCCCTGTGCAAAGCGGGCTACGGTGGGTAGCGGGCCCTCAGCAAGCCAGACCCCCAACCCACAGCCACAGGAGGCACTGGGGGGAGGCGCCCTGAGGACACCCATGCACTGCAAACAGCAGGCTGGGGACAGAGGCCACCACCGTTTCTGGACTCTCCAGGTCAGCTCCCAGGCCGGCGGGGGCCAGTGAGAGAGTTCACAGAGCAGCAGGTGCAAGGCTGGTGTGGACCTCGTCCCTGGCCCAGCCCCAACTCCACACTGAGGGGCAGGTCCCAGCTCCTCCCTGCCCAGGAGCCCCAGCCTCGCACTCACTCTCCTTCTCCAGACACTTCAAGCTTGGCCCCTGCCTGGCCCCTCCCGCCTCGACTGGGCCCAGGCTTCTGTGCATTCCCACCATCCCTCCTGTTGCCAGAGGCCAGGGAAACACCTGACTGTGGATGGGCAGCCTCAGCTGACCCCACGGCTGACACCAGGGATTGCAGTGGCACCTGGTCAGCAGGGCCTCAGGATCCCACTCAGATAACGTTCCTGGGCTGGTGCTCCAGCCTCCACCACAGGGTGGGGAACGAGGCCTGGGAGTCCTCTCCAGGGCCAGACCCAGCAAGTTCAACAGCAAAAGGGCCTGCTGCCTGCCTGCTGTGGAGGGTCTCTGCCTGCCAAGGGGGTCCCTGACTACCCACAGGGGGTCCTTGATGAGCTGTTTGTCCTTCCCGAGTTCTACCTGAGCCTTGCACAGGTGGTGAGAGGCGAGGGCCCAGATGTGTGGTTCTGGTGAGACAGCGGCTCCAGGTGCCCCGTAGGATACCCAAGGGTCCAGCTCAGAGACCCAGAACCCCGAGAAGGCTGCAGTGGCAGGGACACTTGGGCTGGGGGTCTTTTGAGGAGCTGCCCCGGCCTCAATGTCCTCATCCGTTAAGTGGGGGTGGATTCTCTCTCACTGAAAACAACAGAAGCAAATACCCCCCAGTGCAGGGAGGAGGGCAGGTGTGAGGAGAGGCCCTCGCCCTCTCTGCAGCCAGGGCCTAGCCTTCATGCAGCCCTGAGTCCTGACACTGCCATGAGAGACCTCGGTGCAGCCAGCCAGATCTGAGACCCAGAGGGAGGGGAGGGAGGAGGGCAAGTCCAGCTGCAGGGTGGTGGGCAGGGGCTGGAGGGGCGGGAGGACGGGTCCTGGCCTTTACCTGGCCCTGCTCTGCCTCCTAAGCAACGCTGAGCTGGAGCTGGGCCTATCACCCACAATAGTATTGTTATTTGCAGCCGAAGGGGATTCATTAGCAAGTTAGCACCTCCATCGTCACCATGGCAACAGCAGAGGTGCCAGGCAACCGCTGCTCCTGCGGCAGCCACCACCATGGAGCAGGCTCCTCTGCAGAGTGGGCACGCGCCCCTCCCTGCTCTCTCCTACCCACCCCAGCAGGTGCCCGGCAGTGCAGAGCCCAGTCCTCAGCCCCTCCGCTCCTCTGCCCTACCTGGTCCTAACCTTCCTTCCCACTCCAGGTACCTGCTGTGCCCAGCATGCTCCCTGCAGCTCGCCGGCTCCCCGCCCCCTCAGAGGCCTTCTCTGTACTGCGAAGGGCTGGCCGAGTGCCCCCTCCTGCAGGAAGCCTCTGTGCCATGCTGGCCTCTGGGAGAGCATCCTCACCCACAGGGTCTCCCTGGACCTACAGCTCCCAGGGGGACATGTTCCTCACCTCTGTCTCCCCAGATGCTAAGGATCGGGGCTCAGCTATGCCAGGGATGGGGCAGGTTGGGTGGGGTGGGGAGCAGAGACACTAAGGACAGTCTGGTGCAGATCAGTGGGGCCAGCACTGGCCATGTGGGAACAGAGGTAAGGAAATGTGGATGGTGTTGGTTCCATGCCTCTCCTTTCACGGCCCCACATGCCAAGCCCTCCTGAGTACCTGTGGCCCTGCTATTCCAGTGCCTAGGGGTTGGGGGGTGAGAGGCAGGGCTGGGGACAGGATGCCCCCTAGCACAGCCCCATACACCCTTTTCAAAAGTCTTTGAGCCCAGGAGGAAGCAGTTTCCAAGTCCAAAGTCAGAAGAAGGCTCCTCCCAGGCCCACACCTTCCAGGAGGCACCAGGCCGCCACCCTCCCCTGGGACACAGCACGCCTGGCTCCAGTGCTGCGTGCACACTGCCCTCTGTGCGTGCCAGAACACACCTCTTTGCACACCCACTCCACACACAGGGCTGGTGCTCCTTACCCACAATCCACCTGCCCTGTGTGCAAGTACCCACGCGTGAATATGTGCACACGCGTGGGCTGGACATACACTAGAGTACACGCACGTCCTTGCCCTCTGTATGCAGGATCCCCTGAGAACCCCAGGACTCCAGTACCCGAGGGGTCAGCTTCAGACTCCTTACAAACACGAGCTCCCACACCCAGCGTCTCTGTGCAGCACATTCCTGTCCCTGAGCACAGACGGGACCAGGGAGTCCCAGGCCACCCCCAGCTCTCAACTGACAGCATCCTTACCATGTTACCTTCTGCTCAGCACCTAGAAATGGGGACTCACTACCTTCAGAGACAGCTGCCAGGACTGTCAAGCATGGGGGGATGGGACTGTGTCTCCCCCTCACACCTAGGCAGGCTCTTGGAGCTGTCCGGCTCACTGTTACCCAGGGATGCTTCTGGAGGCAGAAATCGTCACACTAAGGAGGCTGAGGAGAGACTGGTGGGTGGCAACTCTGGGAGGCAGGGACCCTGCACTCACACAGGTCAGCTCATCTTCCCTCACTGGGCTCCCCCAGATGCCCTCATCCCTGCCTCCCCTCAGCTCCCTTGGCTAGTGCTGTAGGACCCAAGCTGGCCTACACTCTGCTCCGCTGGCCTGGGGAAGCTGTGGACCTGGGAGAAAGTGGGGTGGGGCGGGGGGCTCCCTCCGATCCCAGGAACGGGGTCCGGGCAGGGCAGGGGATGGGAGGACTTGGCACAAGGGGCCGTGACAGTCGAGTCTCAGAGCCGGACATATCCAGGTTCCCTCCCTTCCCACCAGACCTGTGTCCCTCCTCCTGGTCACTGTGCCACATGCTAAACATCAGGACCAGTGTGGCGCTTCCAAGGTTCACTGCCCTGAGCAACTCCGGCAGAGGGGGCCTCAGCGGGTGCAGTTCTCATGGCCAGAGTCCAACCACCTCTCTCTCACTGTGGGTCTGCCCCTTTCCCTGCCTTCTGCAAGAAGTGACACCTAGGTCTCCCCAGGCCCTAGCTGATGCCCCTTCGAGGCACCTGTCCAGTGGCAGCCTCTAGGCCCTGACTTCAGCCCCAGCCTGAGAAGAGAAGGGTCCTGGAGCAGAGACTGACTCTAAGCGTCTTTCTGCACCTCTGTTAATGGGACTTTATTCCCAGAAGCCTCCCCGAGGACAGAGGATACCAGGGGAATAGAACCTGCCCAGCCACACTCGTGCAGCCCCCGGCTGGCTGCAGCAGGAGGTATTTCAGCGAGACTTCAGGATGAACTTCCAGCTGGGGTCACATGATCTGCCATCCGCATCCAGTGCTTATTAGCAGTGAATGCATGGGACTGTCCTCCTGGTGGAGGGCTGGGGCCTGGGGTGCTACATTCACCCCTGGACCGCCCTAGGTGCAACAGTGTCTCTGGGTGGGCTGTGCCAGAAGGGAGGCAAGGGAGAGTGCCGGGGTTTGGATCTCCCCTCAGACCCCCCGCTGGGGCACAAAAGGAGCTTCCCTGGCCTGCAGCACCCCACCCCCACCCCAAGCTGCACAGCAAGAGCACTGCGGAGCCACGCTACATCCTGCCACCCCCTCCTCCATCCCACAGTGTCCCCGCCCCCCATCACTGCAGCACCAGAGCCCCTATTCCCCTCAGCAGAGGCCGGTACACCCCGCAGCAGGGAGACGGAGGCAGATTCTCCCAGAAGGGGTGACCCTGTTGGGGCTGGGCCTATTGTTGCCCCCTCCCCTCCAGGCCAGACTATTAGGTATCCCCACCTGGTCTGCTCCGCATCCCAGGCTGGGCAGCTGGGCCTAGCGAGGTGGCTGCAGCAGCCTGGCTGTGCCAGCCCCTCCCCCAGCGCCGCGGCTGCCTCTGCAGCAGGCGGAAGGGCGCGGGGGCTTTATCCCTCAGGGGCCGGCTGGGCACCCCGGGATGGGGAGGCAGTGCGGCCTGGACACTGGGGGGATGGATCTGCAGCCCTCCCCCCCGACAGGGGAAGGCCCCTTCCCGGGTGTCCCAGGCCAGAGGCCGTCGCGTCCCTCCCACGGCCGAGGCTCCACACCTCCCGGACCGACTCCGGGCCAGGGTCCGCCTGCTCCGGTTCTGGCCCCCGCGGGGGTGACGTTCGGGACGTCGGGGGCTCGCGCAGATCCGCGCTGGATCTCAGGCGGCCCTGGTGGGTCCTGGATTTTTGTCCCCCCCCCATTCCACACCCAAAGAAGGAGCTGCGGGGAGAAGGGCGGCAACGCGGCGGGCGGGCGTGGGCTGGGCCCGGGTCCGCCGGGCGTTGCGGGGGGCGGGGAAGGGGCCTCCCTGTCCCTGGCGTCCTGGACGGCCGTGGCCGCTCATTCCGGGGCCGCCTCCTCCTCCCGGGCGCCCACCGGGTGCCGCTGCCCCAGCGCCCCCGACGCGGCGCCCTCCGCCCCCCGGCCCGGGCCGGTGAACCCCATCCCCGGCGCCCGCCCCCGCCCCGCCGGCGCCTCCGCTCACCTCGCTCGCGCTCGCCTCGGGGGCGCTCCGGGGACCCGCGCCGCGCTCAGGGCGCCCGCTCGGCCGCGCCGTCCATGGGCCCGGCGGGGGCCCGCGCAGCCGGGGCAGGGGCCGGGGGAGCGCGCGGGCCGCGTCGCCGTCGCCGCCGTCGCCGCCGCCAACGCCGCGGGGAGCGCTCGCTCGGGCCGGGGCGCGCGCACTGCGGGCGGGCACGCGCGCTCGCGGCGCGCATCCCAGCCCCGCGGCTCGGCGGGCGCGGCCGGGAGGTTCCGGCGCGGCTCGGGCTCGGGCTCGGGCTCGGGCTCGGGCGTCCGGCGTCCGGCGGGGCGTCGTGGGGGGAGCCGGCTCGGCCGCCGCGCTCGGCCGCGAGTGACAGGCCCGGGGCGGAGGGCGGGGCCGCCGGCGGGGATGAGGTCATGCCGAGCGAAAAAAGCCCCTGACGTCACCTGCAGCCAATCAGCGCGCGCGGCTCGGGGGCAGGTGACGTCAGCGGAGCCCGGGCTCGGGGTGAAGCTGAGGCGGCTGCCGCGGGGGGGGGGCGGGGTGCAGGGTGCGGGTGGGTCGCGCCGCCGCCGCCTTCCGCCCTCACCCCGGGACCGGCTCTTAAAGGGACCACGCGGCGTCCGGGACCCCGCCTCCAGGAAGCCCTCCCGGCCCCGGGCCCCGCGTCACCCAGGCCCCCCGTCACCCGGGCCCCCGGCCGCGTCGCACAGACCCCGGACGGTCCAGCTGAGCGGCTCCGGGCGCGAAGTCCTCCCCCCGACCCGGACAGGCGCCGGCGCCGCTCCCCCCTTCTCCTGGCCTTTGTTGGCGCTGGGCCGCCGCCGGGGAGCCCTCCCCAGACCCAGGCGCGGCGTTTTACCTGCAGCGGCTGTGCTCGCCCCGCCGCGACCCCCGCAGGACGGAGCCGGATCCCCCTGCACTCGGGCGGACCTGGGACCCTCAGAGGCGAGCCGGCTGCCTCGGGTCACACATCCGCGAACTCCGGGGGCGGGCTCCCCAGGACGCCGCCGACCCCCCACGACCCCCAGCCCTCCCGCTTCCGTGGAAAGCCGCCCCGACGACCCCTGTGCGGGCTGTTGAGGGGCCGCACCCCGCCGACCGCTGTGGGAACACCTCCGCGCGTGCGGCGGGGACGCGGCGAGTCCGGGGCAGGAAGAACGCACGGGTAATTGCACCTTCGGCAGGTGTTGGGCGGGAGCAAGGGGGTCAGACTCGCGCTGCAGGGGGAGGGCGGGGGAGGCCTCGCTGTCCTGGAGGAAGGGGACAAAGACCCCTGCCCAGGAGCCTGGGAGCCTTTGAAAGTAATGATTTTTTGGCGGGGGGGGGTTGTCACGAGACACCCTAGACATTTCTAAAAGGCCCCCTCCCCGCTGCCGGGTGGAGAGGGAGCGTGGGGGGATCCGCCTTCTGCCCCCGAGCCCCCAGCCAGCCTGGGCCCCCCAGGGTCACCCTGGGGCTCTGAAGGGGGCTTCGGCCGCTGGTTGAATGAAGGGCCACAGAAAATGAAGCTGGCGCAACGACCGCAGAACCCTCAGTGGGCACCAGGACCACGGAGCTCAGGGTGCCAATGGTGATGGCTGGGGGTGGGGAGTACTGTGGGCAGCAGGGGATGCTGAGCGGGGTTTGGGGCTCCCCCTTTCCATACTCAGTCTTCCTGCCAGCCTCAGAGCTGAGTACACCGTTGGCGATTAATAAGCGCTTGCAGCTCCCTTCCCTGGCCAGCCTGAGGGGAGCGGCAGTGGCCCGTATGGGGTGGGGGTGGCGGTGGAGTGCGTCCTGGCGCAGAGCTGGCACACAGCACAAACAAACGCCTTGGCGGGAGTGGGTCTGTCCCGGAAGGGAGCCCAGGGGTTATTGGGGTTGGGGCTGCGCCCCAAAGCGGGAGGGCCCTGCGAGAAGGGAGGCCCTGGCTGGAGGGGGACCCTGAGACTGGAGGTGCCGGACCCGGATGCGGGGCCAGGTGAGTAGGGCTGCCTGCTGCAGCCTTGCTGGGTTTGAAAAGTGGGGGAGGCTTGGCCCTGGGAGGGGGCAGGAGGATTCAGGCTGAGACCCGGAGGGGGCGAAGGAGGTCCTTGAGGAGGCAGTCACAGGCCTGAAAGGACCTGGGACCCGCAGGCATGGGAGCTGTTAGCCGTTAGATAGAGGGGCTGTCGCCTGGGGGGAAGCCTCACCTGGCTTGTTCCCCCTGCCAGGCCTAGGTGAGCCCGATGGGCGTGTCTTCTGCCCAGCTGGGATGTGGCCAGCATCTGCCTGTGGCCTGGGAGTGCCCATTGTCCCCTAAGAGCTCTGGTTATACCCTGGGCAGCTACTGGCCAGGCTGGAGCAGGTGGCAGGCAGCGACCTTTAGTCCCTCCTGGAGGCTCCCAGGGGGCGGTTTGGAGGGGAATACGGCTCCCCTGGAGGGCCTGGGCTGTCCCTGGGGGGCAGAGTGCCCTGGGCGGCGATTGTTATAATCCCCGTAGCCATTTTCATGCAAATAAGCACTGAGAGCGTTAGGTTCTGCCCCTAACCAGGCTGGCGGACTAGGGAGGTGGCACCCTGGGGAGGACGGTGGTTTTTCTGCAGCCCCGCCTTAGTTCCACGTTGCCTTTGCACCCAGCAGAGGCCGGCCTGGGCGGTGGGCTCAGGGGCCTGGGTGCCCGACCAGGTCGGCTCGGCTCAGCTCAGCTCGGCGGCCGCACCGCCTCCCGGCACAGGTGTGGACGGGGGTGGGAGGCGCGACCAGGGAGGGGGCTGCGGTGTCAGTCCCGGCCCGGGCCTGTAGACGCCGCCTCGGGGGTCTCTGGGGCTCGGGAGGACCTTGCGAGGGGCCGGGGAGGCGCCAAGGCCGCGGCGAGGGACGTGCGGGGGTCCAGCAGCCTGGGGCGGGGACGCGCGCTCCGGGCCGTGCAGGTGGGGGTCCGAGCGGGGCCGGCCCGGCGGTTCGCGCGCGCCCTCTGCCGTCCGCAGGCCGTGGCGCAGGCTCGGCCGCCTGAAGCTCCTCTCGCCTCCGGGAGGACGTCCAAGGTCGTTTCTTAAAGCATCCCTATTGCGCAGAAGGAACAGTGGGGTTCACTTTTCTCGCTAATGTGCATATAATCGTTGCAACTAATTATGTGTAGCAAACCTCCATGCCACTATTTCCCCAACTTTTTTAAGTCAAGGCATAGCTAACTCAATACAATGCCCATCCCAGCTGTTCAAGTAGACTTTTTCTCCCGTTATTTCTTTAAAAACCGTATGATTTTTTCTTGTGGTAAAATGCATGCAGGAACATACGGTGTGCCATATTAACTATTTTTAAGTGAATTTGGCAGCATTAAGTACATTCACTTTCTGTGTAACCGTCACCACCACCCATCTCTGGAGCTTTTCGTCTTGGAAAACTGGAACTCTACTCTGTCCTCATTAGACACCAACTTCCCAACCCCCTCCCCAGCCCTTGGCACCCATTATTCAAGTAGATTTTTTTTTTTTTTTGACGGAGTCTCATTCTTGTCGCCCAGGCTGGAGTGGAGTGGTACGATCTCAGCTCACTGCAACCTCCATCTCCTGGGTTCAAGCGATTCTCCTGCCTCAGCCTCCCAAGTAGCTGGGATTACAGGCGGCCACTACCATGCCCAGCTAATTTTGTGTGTTTAGTAGAGATGGGGTTTCACCATGTTGGCCAGGATGGTCTCGAACTCCTGACCTCAGGTGATCCTCCCGTCTTGGCCTCCCAAAGTGCTGGGATTACAGGCGTGAGCCACTGCACCCAGCCAGTAGATGGGTTTTGACAACTGTATATGTAGTTTTATCACCATCAAAATGAGACCTAGAAACTTTATTATCCCAGAAGTTCCCTGGTGCCCTGTCCTCACCCTCTGACCTGTCACCGTGAGTTACTGCTATCTGTTCGTACACTTTATAAAAATGGAAACAATGGAAACAAACAATGAGAGGACTTTTGCCCCTGGCATCTTTCACTCAAGGAAATACTTTTTTTTTTTTCCAGACAGAGTCTCTTTGTTCCCCCAGGTTGGAGTGGAGTGGCGCGATCTCAGCTCGCTGCAACCTCCGACTCCCGGTTTCAAGCGATTCGCCAGCCTCAGCCTCCTGAGTAGCTGGGATTACAGGCGCCCGCCACCACGCCCATCTAAATTTTGTATTTTTTAGTAGAGATTGGGTTTCACCACGTTGGCCAGGCTCGTCTCGAACTCCTGACCTCAGGTGATCTGCCCACCTTGGCCTCCCAAAGTGCTGGGATTACAGGCGTGAACCACCTTGCTTGGCCTTAAGGAAATACTTTTGAGATTCGTCCACATTGCTGCTTTCCCACAACCTGATGATAACGTCTGTGTGGTTCTGTATTTCATGGGTGTATGGCAAGAGTGGAACCAATTCTTTATTTTTTACATATTAGATTATTTTCATATTTGGGCTATAAAAAACTGCAGCAGGCCGGGCACGGTGGCTCATGCCTGTAATCCCAGCACTTTGGGAGGCCGAGGCGGGTGGATCATGAGGTCAGGAGATCGTGACCATCCTGGCTAATGTGATGAAACTCTGTCTCTACTAAAAATCCAAAAAATTAGCTGGGCGTGGTGGCGGGCGCCTGTAGTCCCAGCTACTTGGGAAGCTGAGGCAGGAGAATTGCTTGAACCCGGGAGGCGGAACTTGCAGTGAGCCGAGATCGCACCACTGCACTCCAGCCTGGGTGACAGAGCGAGACTCCATCTCAAACAAAAAACAAAAAAGAAAACAAACAAAAAAACTGCAGCAGACAGCATCCTATTGTATATGCTTAAAAAAAGAGATATGGGATCCCTCTATTTTATCCAGGCTGGACTGAACTCTTCCTGGGCCCAAGTGATCCTCCTGCTTCAGGCTTCCCGTAGCTGAGATTATAGGCACGTGCCACCACACCCAACTCTTACATGTTTGTAACACACTTCTCAGATTATTTTTCTTTCTTCCCTCTCTCTCTTTCTCCATTTCCTTCATTCCTTCCTTCTGTCCTTCTGTCCTTCCTGTCTTCCTTTTCTTTCTTGACAGGATCTCACTCTGTCACCCAGGCCAGAGGGCACTGGTGGAAATATAGCTCACAGCAGTCTCAACCTCCTGAGCTCAAGGGATCCTCCCATCACAGCCTCCTGAGTAGCTGGCACTACAGGCATGTGCCAGCATCTCCAGCTAATTAAAAAAATTTTTTTTGGCCAGGTGTGGTGGTGCGTGCCTGTAATCCTAGCTACTCGGGAGGCTGAGACACCAGAATCGCTTGAACCCAGGATGCGGAGCTTGCAGTGAGCCAAGATCGTGGCACTGTACTCCAGCCTGGGCAACGGAATGAAACTCCATCTCAGAAAAAAAAAATTTTTTTTGTAGAGATGAAGTCTCACTATGTTACCGAGGCTGGTCGCAAATTCCTGGGCTCAAGCAATCCTCCTCTCTTGGCCTTCAGCCTTCCAAAATGCTGGGATTACAGGATTATTTTCTTTCCTAGTTTTTTTTTTTTTTTTTTTGGATGGCATCTCGCTCTGTTGCCCAGGCTGGAGTACACTGGTGCGATCTCAGCTCACTGCAACCTCCACCTCCTGGGTTCAAGCGATTCTCCTGCCTCAGCCTCCTGAGTAGCTGGGATTACAGGCGCCTGCCATCATGCCCTGCTAATTTTTGTAGTTTTAGTAGAGACAGGGTTTCACCATGTTGGCCAGGCTGGTCTCGAACTCCTGACCTCAGGTGATCTGCCCGCCTCGGTCTCCCAAAGTGCTGGGATGACAGGCGTGAGCCACAGCGCCCCCTGCCCCCAACTCCCATGTCCCCAGATATTGCAAAGTTGCCCTGAGTGGAGAATTCTAATAACTTGCCAGCAGGCTAGAAGAACTCCATTTAAAACCCTTGCCAGGGCTGGGCATGGTGGCTAACACCTGTAATCCCAGCACTTTGGGAGGTTGAGGTGGGCGGATCACCTGAGGTCAGGAGCTTGAGACCAGCGTGGCCAACATGGTGAAACCCCATCTCTACTAAAAAATACAAAAATTAGCCGGGTGTGGTGGTGGGCACCTGTAATCCCAGCTGCTTAGGAGGCTGAAGCAGGAGAATCCCTTGAACCCGGGAGGTGGAGGTTGCGGTGAGCTGTGATTGTGCCATTGCACTCTAGCTTGGGCAACAAGGGCAAAACTCTGTCTCAAAATAAAATAAAATAAAACCCTTGCCAACACTTGGGATTTTATGCATTTTGATTATAGCTGCATTACTTGATGGGTTGACTAGGAGGACACTGGAGTGTCTTCTCACACAGACTCCATATTTAGTTTGAAGACGTCCTTCTATATTGCCTTATAATCTTCCCCAGGGAGGCCTTACAGTCTTCCCATTGCGTATATTACTCCTGAGCTTATGATTTCGGTTGCTTTGTGAAAGGTTATAAAAACCACAATTTCTGATGTGTTGTTGCCTGTCATGGGCTGGCTGTCGATCACCCTCTCTGACTTCTCTTACTCCTCCAAGCAGGCCGCCTGTAGGTTCACTTGGATTTCCCAGGTAGATGGCCCTATCATCTATGAATCTGCACTTTCGTTTCTTTCCAAACCTCACATTGCTTGTTTCTTGTCATATTGCATGGGCTGGCATCACCATTATAATGCTAAGTGGACATGGTGATGGTGGGAGTCTTAGCTTCCATTCCCCAGAAAGTAGCCAGATGCAAAGCTCAGTGTACACATTTTCTGGAAGGGAGGAACACACCGAGCCAGGGAGGAGGTGAAGCTGAGGCAAGGCTGCTTCTTACTCAGCTGCTGTGGCTTTTTGGAAGTTGCAGCTCAGCTGGCCACGTCTGCACACCCTCTCCCACGAGACCATACAGCGATGCTCCACCTCAGAATGGTCCACAGGGAGGAGGAAGGGAGAATAGTTTCTCTGCAAGCTCCTTCCTGTCTTCTGCTCTCATAGGTCAGAGTTGCTCTCCCGAGGAATTAAGTTCCCTGCATCTTCAGGTGGTGTTACTGGCCCCTCTTGGCAGCTGCTGGGCAGGCCAGAGTGTCTGAGGGTTTGGGGAAGCTGGCACATTGTGTGGAGTGAGAGAGAGGTTCATTAAAATTCCCAATTATTCCTATACATTCCCAATTATAGTCCCAATTGTATTTGTGGATTTATCTATTTCTTATTTTAGTTTTGTCAATGTTTGCTTTATATGTTTTAAAGCTCAGTTATTTGGCACATAGAAGTTTAGGATTGTTTTCTGTTTGGTTGCATGAACTCTCCTATCATCATGAAATGTTATCTCTTCTAATAATGGTTTTGTTTCAAAGTCCACATTGTCTGATCTTACTATCATTATACTAGGTTTTTGAAAACATTAATGTTTGCCTAATATATCTTTTTTTTTATTCTTTTGCTTTCTATCTTCCTGGATCTTGATATTTAGGGTTTGTTTTTTCTAAACAACATGCATCTTATTTAACTTCTCTCTGTTTTTTTTTCTTTCCTTTTTTTTTTGAGACAGAGTCTCACTCCGTCACCCAGGCTGGAGTGCAATGGTGCAATCTCGAGTCACTGCAGCCTCTGCCTCCCAGATTCAAGCGATTCTTGTGCCTCAGCCTCCCAAGTAGCTGGAATTATAGGCACGGGCCACCACACCTGGCTAATTTTTTGTACTTTTAGTAGAGACGAGGTTTCACCATGTTGGCCAGGCTGGTCTCAAACTCCTGACCTCAAGTGATCAGCCTGCCTTGGCCTCCCAAAGAGCTGGGATTACAGGCATGAGCCACCGTACCTGGCCTAATTTCTGTCTTCTGTTAGCTTCCGGGTTATGTATTCATTATCCTTTAATGGCTACCTTAGAGATGGTTATATTTATTTATTTATTTTTTTGAGATGGGGTCTCACTCTGTTATCCAAGCTGGAGTGCAGTGGCATAATCATGGCTCACTGCAGACTTGACCTCCCAGGCTCAGGTGATTCTCCCACCTCAGCCTCCTGAGTAGCTAGGACTATAGGCACCTGCCAACACACCCGGCTAATTTGTGTATTTTTGGTAGAGATGGAGTTTTGCCATGTTGCCCAGGCTGGTTTTGAATTCCTGGTCTTGAGCAATCCATCTGCCTTGGCTTCCCGAAGTGCTGGGACTACAGGCGTGAGCTTCTGCACCCATCCAGAGATTATGATAACATATTATCAGTTAATAATCTCGTGTCTTCATAAACAAGGCAAGAACCTTACAACTATTTAATTCTGTTTATCCCTCTCCTGACTTCTGTGCTGTTGTCATATATTTTACTTCCACAAAGTTTAAAAATTTTATAGGACATTGAATATTGTTTTATTTATTTATTTAGAGACGGAGTCTTGCTCTGTTGCCCAGGCTGGAGTGCAATGGTGCAATCTTGGCTCACTACAACCTCTGCCTCCCAGGTTCAAGCAATTCTCTTGTCTCAGCCTCCGAAGTAGCTGGGATTACAGGTGCCCACCACCATGCCCAGCTACTTTTTTTTTTGTTTTTTTTTTGAGATAGAGTCTTGCTCTTGTTGCCCAGGCTGGAGTGCAGTGGTGCGATCTCGGCGCACTGCAACCTCCACATCCCGGGTTCAAGCGATTCTCCTGCTTCACCCTCCTGAGTAGCTGGGACTACAGGCGCATGCCACTACACCCGGCTAATATTTTGTATTTTTAGTTGAGACAGGATTTTACCATGTTGGCCAGGCTGGTCTCGATTTCCTGACCTGTGATCTGCCTGCCTCGGCCTCCCAAAGTGCTGAGATTACAGGCGTGAGCCACTGTGCCCAGCCCTTGGCTACTTTTTATATTTTTAGTACAGACAGGGTTTCATCATGTCGGCCAGTCTGGTCTTGAACTCCTGACCTTGTGATACACTCACCTCGGCCTCGCAAAGTGCTGGGATTACAGGCGTGAGCCACCGTGCCTGGCCCTTGGCTACTTTTTATATTTTTAGTAGAGATGGGGTTTCACCATGTTGGCCAGTCTGGTCTCGAACTCCTGACCTCAGGTGATCCGCCCTCCTCGGCCTCCCAAAGCACTGGGATTACAAGCGTGAGCCACTGTGCCTGGCCCAATCATAGTTATTTTAAAGCCCTTGTTTCCTAACTCCAATATGTGGCTTATCTGTAATCTGCTTCTTCTGTTAGCTTTCCGCATGATTATTGATCACTGTTTCCTGCTGTGTCCTGTATCTCGTGCTTTCTGTCAGAGGTATGCCTCAAAGGACCGTGGGGGTCCATATCTAGGGACCGTGGGGGGTCCATATGTCGGGACCGTGGGGGTGTCTATATCTCGGGACCGTGGGGGTCCATATCTAAGGACCGTGGGGGTCCATATCTTGGGACCATGGGGGGTCTATATGTCAGGACCGTGGGGGTCTATATCTAAGGACCGTGGGGTTCTGTATCTCAGGACCGTGGGGGTCCATATCTAGGGACCGTGGGGGTCCATATCTAGGGACCGTGGGGGGTCCATATGTCGGGACCGTGGGGGTGTCTATATCTCGGGACCGTGGGGGTCCATATCTAAGGACTGTGGGGGTCCATATCTTGGGACCATGGGGGGTCTATATGTCAGGACCGTGGGGGTCTATATCTAAGGACCGTGGGGTTCTGTATCTCAGGACCGTGGGGGTCTGTATCTAGGGACCGTGGGGATCTGTATCTAGGGACCGTGCGGATCTGTATCTAGGGACTGTGGGAGTCTATATCTAAGGACCGTGGGGTCTATATCTAGGGACCGTGGGGGTCCATATCTCAGGACCGTGGGGATCTGTATCTCAGGACCGTGGGGGTCTGTATCTCGGGACCGTGGGAGTCTATATCTAGGGACTGTGGGAGTCTATATCTAAGGACCGTGGCGTCCATATCTAGGGACCATGGGGGTCCATATGTCGGGACCGTGGGGGGTCTATATCTCGGGACCGTGGGGGTCCATATCTAAGGACCATATGTCGGGACCGTGGGGTTCTGTATCTCAGGACCGTGGGGGTCTGTATCTAGGGACCGTAGGGATCTGTGTCTAGGGACCGTGGGGGTCTATATCTAGGGACTGTGGGAGTCTATATCTAAGGACTGTGGCGGTCTGTATCTCGGGACCGTGGGGGTCTATATCTCAGGACCGTGGGGCTCCATATCTCAGGACCATGGGGGTCTGTATCTAAGGACCGTGGAGGTCTATATCTCGGGACCGTGGGGGTCTCCATCTAAGGACTGTGGGGGTCTAGCTGCTCTCTTCCAACAGTGAGCACGTGGCCTCCCTCTCTAGTGCAGACAGGGAGAGGAGCTGAACATTTCGTCTACCCGCTCAGTTAGGGATTGGGCCACTTCAGTCAATCGTCCCTCTGTGTGGCTTTCCTGGAGTTTTGGTTAAGAGCCTGGCCAGTCCGTGTCTTCTTATCCCTGACAGGCTGTCAGAGAGTCACTTCTTTCCCTGAGGTACAGGCTTAGCTCTTTAGTTGTCTGCTCAGGCAGCTTCAAAATTTGGAAAATGTCTTAAGGGCCAGATTAACCTGTGCCTGGGGCAGGACCCCTTCCTCTAGAAAAGCTCTGTGTACTAAGCTCCACAAGGCTATGCGAGACTTCAGCGCACCTGCGGAGGCCTCAGGCCTCACTTCTTAGCCTCCCCAGAAATTTGCAAATGTCCCAGTTTTCTGCTCCAGCCCCTGTGGTTGCCAAGAGCCCTGCTGGGTATTTCTCCCAGTAGAATTCCTCTTCCCCAGTGGGACCGAGGCTCAGCTCATACCCAGCACTGGTTAATTCCTTAAAGGGAGAGAAGCCGACATTCAGCTCATCTTGGAAGGGCTCTCTCTGAATGTTTTCATCTGGTTCTTGTTGCTTCTACAGTTCTCCAATGTCTTTTTTATAGATACATTTTTCCGGTATTTCAAAATTGTGGGCCGGATGCAGTGGCTGACGCCTATAATCCCAGCACTTTGGGAGGGTGAGGCAGGTAGATCACTTGAGGTCAGGAGTTTGAGACCAGCCTGGCCAACATGGTGAAACCCCATCTCTACTAAAAATACAAACAAAACAAAATTAGCTGGGCATGGTGGCTCATGCCTGTAGTCCCAGAAACTCAGGAGGCTGAGGCAGGAGAATAGCTTGAACCCAGGAGGCAGAGGTTGCAGTGAGTGGAGATCACACTACTGCAGTCCAGCCTGGGCAACAGAGTGAGACTCCATCTCAGAAAAAAAAAATTGTGGTAAGATACATACGGTAGGATTTCCTGAAGTTATTTATTTATTTATTTATTTATTTATTTATTTATTTATTTATTTTACCATCTGAGTTCTGTAATTAATGTGGCCTTCTCTGGTTGCTGCAATGGGATTGCTGACCTTCCATATACATCCCCTCTGGAATGTCATATTTGCATTCTTCTGGCTTTTTTTGTTTGTTTGTTTTTTGTTTTTTTTGAGACGGAATCTTGCTCTGTAGCCCAGGCTGGAGTGCAGTGGCGCGATCTCGGCTCACTGCAGCCTCCGCCTCCCGGGTTCACACCATTCTCCTGCCTCAGTCTCCTGAGTAGCTGGGACTACAGGCGCCTGCCACCATGCCCGGCTAAATTTTTGTATTTTTAGTAGAGAGGGGGGTTTCACCGTGTTAGCCAGGATGGTCTCAATCTCCTGACCTGGTGATCCGCCCCCCTCGGCCTCCCAAAGTGCTGGGATTACAGGCATGAGCCACCGCACCTGGCCGCCGGCATCTTTAATTCAGACTGCCAGCTTCCAGAACCCTGAGAAATACACTTCTGTTGTACATGCCAGTCCATGGTGTTCTGTTACATCAGCCCAAAGAGAATAAGACCGCGTGGTAACAGGCCATGATGACCCCCTAGTGATTGCTTTTGCCTGATCAAGGCAAGGCACCCCCGCCCTGAGCCAGATGCTGAGAGGGTGTGGTAGAGGCTGCACGGCAAGGGGCTGAGCCAGGTGGCTGCTGGTGCTCCTGCCTCTGACCGCCACCATGTATCCAGGATCCCTGCTGGCCAGGGCGCCCACCTGCCTGCTCCGGTTTGGTTCAGGGCCGGTGTGTGTGTGTGTGTGTGTGTGTGTGTGTGTGTGTGTGTGGTTCCCAGGGGACCCAGTGTAGCCACAGATGCCCCCCACCTGCCTCGAGAGGGAAATAAACATAAATATACCAAGACAGCTATGGGGTGCTGGGGTGAGCGGTTTATTGGATGTTTAAAGGACAGAGATCTGAACTCCTAGTGACTGCAGAGTGAGCAAGCACCCTGGGCTGTCCTGCAGGGCTGTCCGTGCTGGATGTGGTGCCAGCAGGCAGGGCTTGCGGATAGGCATTTGCTGCAGGTGGCTGGGGCGGTGGGGGGCTGGTCTCCAGATGCCTGGAAGGGAGGCCTTGAAAGTCATTCTTCTTGGATGCATGGGCCCATGGCATTTCTTGGTAGAAGGTCAAAGAGAAGTGTTCATGCTTGGCAAGGCAGGAGGGTGGGAGATAGGGTAGTGGGTGGGGAAGGAGAGTCTGGCTCACTGGGTGCCAGGAAAAGGAGGTAAAGGCTGGGCAGGAATGCCTGGCCATGGTAAGAGTCCTGCAAAGCCAGAAATCAGATCTTGCACTGGCAGCACACGGGGACACAGCAACTGGACTGGGAGCAGCAGGGCTTGCAGCAGCTGGATTGGCAACAGGATGACCCACAGCCTGAGGAACAGCAGCAGGGCTTACAGCAACTGCACTGGGAGCAGGATGACCCGCAGCCTCCCTTAGACCCCGCGCAAGAGCCACAACTGGAACAGGAACAGCAACACACGGGCACACCGCAGCCGGAGCCACAGCCCCCACAGCCGGAGCCACAACCCCCCTTGGATCCCCCACAAGAACCGCAGCCCCCCTTGCAGCCTCCACAGGAGCCACAGCCCCCCTTGGAGCCCCCACAAGAACCACAGGCCCCCTTGGAGCACCCACAGGAGCCACAGCCCCCTTTGCCACAGCTGGAGCAGGAACAAGCTGGCACACAGCAGCACATGGGCTTGCAGCAGCAGACAGGCACACAGCAGCTGGAGCCACATCCCCCACAGCCGGAACCACAGCCACCCTTGGATCCCCCACAAGAGCCACAGCCCCCCTTGGAGCCCCCACAGGAGCCACAACCCCCCTTGGATCCCCCACAAGAGCCACAGCCCCCCTTGCAGCCTCCACAGGAGCCACAGCCCCCCTTGGAGCCCCCAGAAGAGCCACAGCCCCCTTTGCCACAGCTGGAGCAGGAACAGGTTGGCACACGGCAGCACACGGGCTTGCAGCAGCAGACGGGCACACAGCAGCTGGAGCCAGAACCTCCACAGCCAGAGCCACAGCCCCCACAGCCGGAGCCACAGCCCCCACAGCCGGAGCCACAGCCCCCACAGCTGGAGCCACAGCCTCCGGAGCAGCCGCAACAGCCCATGGTTCTGGTGGATTGAGGGTGGAGCAGGTAGAGGAGCAGGTGAGAGGGAGGTGCAGGTGTGGAGCTCCCTGAGCCTGGACCCTTTATATCCCTGCCCAGGGTCATGTGTGAGGCTGGGCACACATTTCCTGGTTCCTGTTTGTGCCATTTTTAGGGCCCCTTTTTCTTGTTTCCTCTAGAAATCCGCCCCTTGGTGTATGGGCTGCTCAGTGGGCTGCTGCTCTCTTGCTGAATCTGTGTCCAGACTTAATGGAGGCCCCCAAGGGTCTAGCCTCTCCCTGTTGACTCCAGAGTCACACTGGATTTACAAAAGCATCTATTTTAGGCTGGGCATGGTGGCTCACACCTGTAATCTCAGCACTTTGGGAGGCCTAGGCAGGTGGATCACTTGAGGTGAGGGGTTGGAGACCAGCCTGGCCAAAATGGTGAAATCTCGTGTCTACTAAAAACACAAAAATTAACTGGGTGTGGTGGCTCACATCTGTAATCCCAGCACTTTGGGAGGCCGAGGCAGGTGGATCATTTGAGGTCAGGAGTTGGAGACCAGCCTGCCCAACATGGCAAAACCCCATCTCTACTAAAAATACAAAAATTAGCCAGGCATGGTGGTGCATGCTTGTAACTCCAGCTACTTGGGAGGCTGAGGCAGGAGAATGGCTTGAACCCAGAGGTGAAGGTTGCAGTGAGCAGAGATCACACCACTGCACTCTAGTGTGGGCAACAGAGCGGGACTCTGTCTCAAAAAAAAAAAAAAAGTGATCTATTTTAGTTGAACGATGGTATAAAGAGTAATATATTTAAAAAATGTAAAAAAAAACCCTACTCAACTTGGGAAAAAATGGCATAAATAAATGAAGTCTCTGTTCCTCCATCTCTCCATATTGTTTCTGTCCCACCCTAATAATTTCTTGAATTTGGAATTCACCACTCTCATGAAGGTCCTCACACTCCTACTTAATATGTATGTTCCTTTAAAAATGTTTTGTGGCCAGGCGCGGTGGCTCACACCTGTAATTTCAGCACTTTGGGAGGCTGAGGTGGGCGGATCATTTGAGTCCAGGAGTTTGAGACCAGCCTCACTAACATGGTGAAACCTCGTCTTTACTAAAAATACAAAAATTAACCAGGTATGGTGGCATGTGCCTGTAATCCCAGCTATTCGGGAGGCTGAGGCAGGAGAATCGCTTGAACCTGGGAGGCAGTGGTTGCAGTGAGCTGAAATCACGCCATTGCACTCCAGCCTGGGCAACAGAGTGAGACTCTATCTCAAAAAAAAAAAAAAAAAAAAGAAAAGAAAAAAGAAAAAAAAATTTTACATGCTGAAAACTTTATGTAATGGGTATTACACTGTATTTCTCTTTCTGTAAATTGCTTTTGAAAAAAATAGGTGTTAGGCTAAAGAGATTTTCTCTAGGGATACATATGGTTTTAATTTATTTGTTTTCTCTGATTTCTAAATATACATTGACTTATCCATTTACTTGTTGATGGACCTTTTGTTTCCTTTTTGTTGCTATTTCAAGCAAGCTGCAACTTTCTTGCCCAAAACCCCTCCTGCAGGTATGGGTGCCTGAAAGTCAGGAGGTTCTTGTTACCAAGCTGTCTTCCCAAGGGATCCCCCCAGCCAGCTGCTGTCCAACCAGCATTGCCAGAGAGCTCCTGTTTCCTGGCACCCCCACCAAAACTTGCAACTGTCAACTTACACCCTTCATGTGGGTGTGTAACACAGTGTTACACACTGTGGTTTAATATTCCCTCTTCCTGGTTACTAGCCATGCTGTGCCTCTTTCCATATGGTCACCTGTCATTAGAGTCTCGTTAATTTCACGTCCTTGGCCCACTTTACAAAATTGAGATAGTTATTATTATTAATTTTTGAGATGGAGAGTCTTGCTCTGTCTCCCAGGCTGTAGCGCAATGGTGCGATTTCGGCTCACTGCAACCTCCGCTTTCCATGCTCGAGCAATTCTCCTGCCTCAGCCTCCCGAGTATCTGGGATTACGGGCATGTGCTACCACACCTGGCTAATTTTTGTATTTTTAGTAGAGTCAAGGTTTCACCATGTTGGTCAGGCTGGTCTTGAACTCCTGACCTCAAGTGATCCACCCACCTCGGCCTCCCAGAGTGCTGGGATTACAGGTGTGAGCCACCACACCTGGCCAAGATCATTATTATTTTTATTGGTGTCTGAAGTTCTTTGAATTTTCTGGATTCTTTTATTTTGAGATGGAGTCTTGCTCTGTTGCCAGGCTGGAGTGCAGTGGCATGGTCTCGGCTCACTGCAGCCTCTGACTCCCTGGTTTGAGCAATTCTCCTGCTTCAGTCTCCCCTGGGATTACAGGCGCGTGCCACCACACCCAGCTAATTTTTGTATTTTTAGTAGAGACAGGGTTTCACCATGTTGGCCAGGCTGGTCTCCTGACCTCATGATCCACCTGCCTCAGCCTCCCAAAGTGCTGGGATTACAGGCGAGAGCCACAGCGCCCAGCCTTTTGTTTCTTCTTCTTCTTCTTCTTCTTTTTTTTTTTTTTTTTTTTGAGACAGAGTCTCGCTCTGTTGCGCAGGCTGGAGTGCAGTGGTGTGATCTCGGCTCACTGCAACCTCTGCCTCCGAGTTCAAGCAATTCTCCTGCCTCATCCTCCTGTGTTTCTTCTTAACATAGATGTCATTTATTCTAAGTTTTTCAAATTTATTGGGATGTACTTTTCATAGTTGCCTCTGTTTTTGAAGATGGGATCTTGCTATGTTGTCCAGGCTGGGGTGCAGTGGCCGTTCACAGGCACCATCATAGCTCACTGCAGTCTCGAACTCACGCCTGGCCTCAAGTGGTCCTCAGCCTCTGAAGTAGCTGGGACTACTACAGACTACCACATTTGACTACTACAAATCCCTACCGTGTGCCACCACGCCTGGCTTAGTAGCCTGTTATTTTTAATAGCTGCTAAATTTGTCATTATTTGCTTTCTTTTCTTTCTTTTTTTTTTATGGCAGGGTCTCACTCTGTCACCCAGGCTGGAGTACAGTGGTGTGATCTCGGCTCACCACAACCTCTGCCTCCCGGGTTCAAGTAATTCTCCTGCCTTAGCCTCCCGAGTAGCTGGGATTATAGGCACCTGCTATCATGCCTGGCTAATTTTTGTATTTTTAGTAGAGATAGGGTTTTGCCATGTTGGCCAGCCTGGTCTCGAACTCCTGGCTTCAGGTGATCCACCTGCCTTGGCCTCCCACGGTGCTGGGATTACAGGCGTGAGCCACCGTGCCCAGCCTATTTGCCGTTTTTCATCCCTGCTTCAGGTTATACATGCTCTTTCTCCTGCCCGACCCTTTTTTTCCTCATTGGTTTTGCTAAATATTGTTGATTTTCTTTGTCTTTTGAAAGACCAGCTTTTGATTTTGTTGATTCTGTTTGTTGTATGTGTTAAACATTTTTATTTAGTTCTGCTCATATCTTTATTTTCTCCATTGTTCTTTTTGCACTTTCTAAACATGCGGGTGCTGGGGTGCGTGACTGTCTGCTGGACGTGGACTGTCAGGCCAGGAGGCGTGCGATAGAGAGTCACTGCCATCTGGGCTTTCTATCTGTCCCTCCTTCCTTCCCTCCCTCCCTCCCTCCCTTTTCTGCAGTCATTTTCATTCAGCTTCTTTCAGCCTTTCTGCAAGCTTCTGGGTGAGGTAACTACTGTGGGGCTGCTTTAAAAGCTCCCATATTTTGGGGTCTCTGTTCTTTACCCGATGAGCTAAGCCTGTGGGGTTTGCTGTGATTTCTGACATACGTGGGCTGCTTCCCACCACCCTTTGCATTTCACCATCCTGTGGTAGTGCTTCCTTCCCCTCTTCTTTTAGATGGAGTTTTTAAGGTTCTGTTTTTGTTTTTATTTTGTTTTGCTTTGACTGACTTAGAAGTTATATACACTATTCCTGTTTTTAGCAGCAACCTTATGCATTTCATGTGTATTTTTAAACAAATGTTGTCTACACGTGATGGCCCTCTATTCCTCCCCTGCTGAGAGTTGTGCAGGGAGCTGGGGACAGCTTCTTCCCCTGCCCAGCCCCTCCGGTGTCAGCTGTGGGAGTTTCTCCAGCGTCTTAGCTCCTCTCACATTGCTCATCATTGTTTATTTATAGTCAGTATTTGCTTAAACTTGCCACACATCCACCAACAACTCTAGGCGTGGTTCTTGCTTACACCATACTTCTTCCTTCCGGGCTCAGCTTCCTTCTTCCTGAAAACATCCTCCGGAAGTTCCCTCACAAGCATTCATCAGTAGACAGTCTGCATTTTTACATGGAGGTGGCTTGTTTCCTGCTCCTCCTGAGCATTCATCAGTAGACAGCCTGCATTTTCACATGGAGGTGGCTTGTTTCCTGCTCCTCCCGAGCATTCATCAGTAGACAGCCTGCATTTTCACATGGAGGTGGCTTGTTTCCTGCTCCTCCCGAGCATTCATCAGTAGACAGCCTGCATTTTCACATGGAGGTGGCTTGTTTCCTGCTCCTCCCGAGCATTCATCAGTAGACAGCCTGCATTTTCACATGGAGGTGGCTTGTTTCCTGCTCCTCCCGAGCATTCATCAGTAGACAGCCTGCATTTTCACATGGAGGTGGCTTGTTTCCTGCTCCTGGGCTCAAGCCATCCTTTCTCCTCAGCCTCCCCAGCAGCTGGGATGACAAAGGCACACCATCACACTCAGCTAATTTTAATTTCTGTGTAGAGATGGGGTCTCTCTAAGTTGTCCAAGCTGGTCTAGAGTTCCTTGGCTCAAGCAACCCTCCCACCTTGGCCTCCCAAAGTGCTGGGATTACAGACGTGAGCCACTATGCCTGGCCTGCCCTCACTTTTGAATAATGCTTTGGTTGGCACAAAATTCCTCAGTGCTTGAAAGGTGTCACTGGCGGCTGTTTCGTCTGTTGCTGCTGTCACTTTCTCTGCCCCTCCGCTGGAGTCCCCAGCCTTCTGAGTCTGCTGTGGAAGCTGGAGTCTCTGGCCTTCTGTGTCCGCTGTGAAAGCTGGAGTCCTGGTCTTCCATGTCTACTGTGGAAGCTGGAGCTGCCTGGCCTTCTGTGTCTGCTGTGCAGGCTGGAGTCCCTGGCCTTCCATGTCTGCTGTGGAAGCTGGCTTGCACATTTGGTTCTCCCACCTGCTTCATGCCATGTCCTTCCTGGACCGAGGGTTCCAGTTTCAACCTTGGGAGACTCTCCCTGTCTCACCTCTCCCGAGTCTCTCTCATCTCTAGTTGGACAAATGTCAAATCTACTACATGTCCCCATATGTCTTTTTTTTTTTTTTTTTTTTTTTTTTTAAGACAGAGCCCTGTTCTGTTGCCTAGGCTGGAGTGCAGTGGCAAGATCTTGGTTCACTGCAACCTCCAACTCCCGGAGTCAAGTGATTCTTCTACCTCAACCTCCCAAGTAGCTGGGATTACAGGCGCCTGTCACCATGCCCAGCTATTTTATTTTATTTTATTTTTTGTATTTTTAGTAGAGAAGGGGTTTCACCATGCTGGCCAGGCTGGTCTCAAACTCCTGACCTCATGATCCGCCTGCCTTGGCTGCCCAAAGTGCTGGGATTACAGGCGTGAACCACTGCGCCTGGCCCCCATGTGTCTTTTTTAAAAAAAGAAAACCGTTTTATTGAGATAAATGTGCATATACAGTTTGTCTATTTAAAAGTCCACAATCTGGCCAGGCGTGGTGGCTCACACCTGTAATCCCTGCACTTTGGGTGGCTAAGGTGGGTGGATCACCTGAGGCCAGGAGTTCAAGACCAGCCTGGCCAACATGATGAAACTCTGTCTCTACTAAAAATACAAAAATTAGCTGGGTGTGGTGGTGCATGCCTGTAATCCCAGCTACTTGGGAGGCTGAGGCAGGAGAATGGCTTGAACCCAGGAGCGGAGGTTGCAGTGAGCTGAGATCTTGCCACTACACTCCAACTTGGGCAACAGAGTGAGACTCCATCTCAAAAAAATAAATAAATAAAAGAAGACCGTCATAAGTGGAGAAATATATCATGTTCATGGGTGGAAAGTCTTAACATTATAAAAAGTTCAGTTTCTTATATTCATACATTCAATGGATTTTATTCAATTAAAATTCCAGAAGGATTTAATTCTGAAAATTATTCCATAGATCTAAAATTTATGTGCAAACTTGTGAATAACTGAGACACTCCTGAATAATATTCAGAAGGGGTAGTCTCTGCCTGATATTAAGGCATAATAAAGTCTTCGTTGTTAAAACAGTTTGCTACTAGCACATGAATGGATAAATAGTTAGAAGTACAGAACAGGAACCCAGAAAAGACCCATCTATTGCAGAGCTTTAATTTTTTTTTTTTTTTTTTGAGATAGAGTTTCACTCTTATTGCCCAGGCTGGAGTGCAATGGCACGATCTTGGCTCACCACAACCTCCACCTCCCGGGTACAAGCAATTCTCCTGCTTTAGCCTCCCGAGTAGCTGGGATTACAGGCATGCACCACCACACTGGCTAATTTTGTATTTTAGTAGAGACGGGGTGTCTCCGTGTTGGTCAAGCTGGTCTCGAACTCCTGACCTCAGGTGGTCCACCTGCCTCAGCCTCCCAAAGTGCTGGGATTACAGGCGTGAGCCACCGTGCCCAGCCAGAGGAGCTTTAATCTTTAACAAATTGAATGGGGAAGATGGCTCACTCTATGCAGAGAATTAAAATTAGATGCCTACCTCACACCCTCTATAATCCACATGGATTGAAGACCTAAAAGGATATGTAAAAGTGAAAGGAAAATATAAAAAGAGTGGAAGATAATATAGGAGATTGTGTTTATTATCTTGGGGTCAGGAAATGAATTCTTAAATATGATCCCCAGAACATAAACAGTAATTAGGAAAATGCTGTATTTAACCACATCAAAATTACTGATATATGTCTGGATATCACCCCACAAAAAAACCATTAAAAGATGATTGGGGCCAAGTGTGGTGGGTCACCCCTGTAATCCCAGCACTTTGGGAGGCCGAGGTGGGCAGATCACCTGATGTCAGGCGTTCGAGACCAGCCTGACCAACGTGGTAAAACCCCATCTATACTAAAAATACAAAATTAGCCAGGTGTGGTAGTGCATGCCTGTAATCCCAGCTACTCGGGATGCTGAGGCAGGAGAATTGCTTAAACCTGGGAGGTGGAGGTTGCAGTGAGCCGAGATTGCACCATTGCACTCCCGCCTGGGCAGCAAGGTGAAACTCCGTCTCAAAAAAAAAGAAGATTGATCAACTGGGAGAAGATATTTGCCATTTGCCATATTTATAACCCCTAGAAGCTAATGTCTAGACAGGAACCCTGAAAATCAACAGAAGAGGGCAGGAGACCTAGTGGAGAAGTGGGCAAAGCATAGGAATAGACCACCCACAGATGGCTAGTGAGGACGCGAAAAGACCTTCAACCTTATTTTTAATCAGAGTTAAGCAATGAAAACAAAACGCCCCTGGTTTTTGAAGAGAATGGAAACACCTGCAGTCTTACTGATATGTTACATTTAGCGCGTGGTATTTAGTGAGAGGCGTGAGCAGCTATGTGCTTACCTGCAGCATACAGCGGGAGTCGTTACGTGACTTCTGCCTTTCAAGCACATACAGTGTAATGGGATCCATCCATCACACAAATATACTAGCTCTGTACACAGCCTTGAGGAGGAGCAATATTTTTGGTTGTTATAAACTGCATTTTTTTTTTTTGGTATGGCCTTTTGATTCTGGGAAGCACATTCATTCTATGGCTATTGCCTTTTTAGATCATGAAAGCATCATTCCATATTGATGAAGAAGATGTAGATATGGCACTGATCAACACCTCAGTCGCCTTCCTTCCAAAACAGATACTTCTCAAGAAATCTGGGGCCGGGTGTAGTGGCTCACGCCTGTAATTCCAGCACTTTGGGAGGCCAAGGTGGGCAGATCACAAGGTCAGGAGATGGAGACCATCCTGGTTAACACAGTGAAAACCCATCTCTACTAAAAATACAAAAAATTATCCGGGCGTGGTGGTGGGTGCCTGTAGTCCCAGCTACTCAGGAGGCTGAGGCAGGAGAATGGCGTGAACTCAGGAGGCAGAGCTTGCAGTGAGCTGAGATCGTGCCACTGCACTCCAACCTGGGCGACAGAATGAGACTGTATTTCAAAAAAAAAAGGAAAAGAAATCTGTTCTCCCAGGCTCCCCATTTCAGCATCCCACTCATTGATCATTGAAAACTCATTCACTAGGTTCACCACTCCTGGGTGTTATGCTGAGCAATGAGGATATTCATCATGGTGGATTATATGGCAGCAAAGAGCTCAAAAAAGGGTGATGGATGTGGGAAATGGGGGGCAGGAATCTAGTGGAACACACTTCAGTGGCCAGAAATAATGCATTGTATTTTCATGTAGCAATACATGCCAAAAGCACCAGATTTGCTTAAAACGCAAGAAACAGAACAGAATTTATAACCATCATGAATTTAAATAACATACACAAGGCTGGACACAGTGGCTCACGTCTGTAATCCCAGCACTTTGGGAGGGCCAGGCAGGTGGATTACTTGAGTCCAGGAGTTCGAGACCAGCCTGGGCAACGTGGTGAAACCCTATCTCTACAAAAAATACAAAAATTAGCCAGGTGTGGAGGTGCGACTGTAGTCCCAGCTACTTGGGAGGCTGAGGCAGGAGGATCGTTTGAGCCCGGGATGTGGAGGTTGCAGTGAGCTGAGATTGCACCGTTGCACTCTATCTCCAGCTTGGGTGACAGAGCAAGACCTGTCTCAAAAACAAAACCAAAACCAAATACATACACATTGAAAAATGCTACATATTTGTCATGATTATATGCAAATGTTTGTAAATAACTTATGGAAGATGAATTGGAAAGATACCTGCAAGGATGGATGCCTATGGGTGGAGAGGATGATGGGACTTGGGATAATGAAGGAGAAAAAAGTTAAATAAAAACAATGTCTATATAGGATTCATTAGCTGAGGATTGTGATCTATAAAATTCTCAGCACATATATGATGCATGCATATATATATATATGTATATATATATTTTTTGAGATGGAGTCTCACTCTGGTTGCCCAGGCTGGAGTGCAGTGGCGTGATCTTGGCTCACTGCAACCTCTGCCTCCTGGGTTCAAGCGATTCTTCTCCCTCAGCCTCCTGAGTAGCTGGGATTACAGGCGTGCCCCACCATGCCCAGCTATTTTTTTTGTTAGTTTTAGTAGAGATTGGGTTTCACCACGTTGGTCAGGCTGGTCTCAAACTTCCGACCTCAGGTGATCTGTGCGCCTCAGACTCCCAAAGTGCTGGGATTACAGGTGTGAGCCACTGCACCCAGCCAGGCCTTTGTTTTTATTTTGCCTACTATTAGTATAGCTTTCTTTGCATGTTATGTCTTTTTCTATCCCCCACTTCTTTTTTTTTTTTTACATTTTTGAATCCTTATGTTTTAGATGCAACTTTTGACTTTACATATAGTTATACATTTTTTAAGAAAACTTGTCTAGCAATCTTTATATGTAAACTAGAGCATTTTGTCCATTTACTTGTGAAATAATTACTGAAATATTTGGGTTTAAAACCTATGTTCTTAGTCTGAATTTTCTACTGCATCACCTGATCTATATTTCTTTTTCTCTTCTGTTCTTTTTGATTAGTGCTTTTTTATTCTAGTTTTTTATGTAATTGTTTGACTGTCATACATGACTTTGGTTAGGAGTCTTGGATCTTCTTTGCTTCTTTTCAATTTTTGTCATTGTCTCTTGAATCCTTTTTAGTTCTTCATTTCTTTTTGGTTTTTAAAATTTATTGTACTTTTTTACTCATACGTTTGTCCCACTTTAGACTTTATTTCTAGAGTGATTTCTTTTAACTCTAATTTTCTCTTAAGTGATGTCCCCTCATTTAGCAATTCTTCTATTTATGACTTTTGTTGTTCATTTATGTCTCTTTTTTTGAGATGGGGTTTCACTCTGTTGCCCAGGCTGGAGTGCAGTGGCAGGATCATAGCTCACTGCAGCCTCAACCTCCTAGGCTCAAGCAATCCTCCCGCCTCAACTTCCCTAGCAGCTGGGATTAAAGACACACACCACCATACCCACTTAGTTTTTAAAATGTTTTGTAGAGGTGGGGGTCTCACTATGTTGCCCAGGCTGGTTTTGAACTCCTGGCCTCAAGTGATCCTCCTGCCTCACCTCCCAAAGTGCTGGGATTACAGGTGTGAGCCACCGCGCCCGGCCTTATTTATGTCTGGTATCATTTCCTTTCATTGTTCATTAGCTCCTTTGGAAACAGTAGGCTACCACTGTGATCTGTTTCACGGCAGGCTTCCTAGCTTTCTTCCATTGCCTCTAGGGACTTACCGAGGGCCCTTGCACCCACTCACCACTAGAGGGAGGAAAACCTTCCCCATTTCAGGAGCCAAATCCAAAATTCATGCTGCGCTTTTCCAGCACACACCTGTTGGCTCTTTTGAGGTTCCCCTGTTTTCGTCTCTGTTAGATGTTTCTTCGCTTTCTCCTGCACAGACACTGAAACCCTGGGGGACTGTGGCTCTTGGAAATTTATCCCCACCTTCTTGTACTTTTAGGTTCACCTGCTTTTTCTTAAGACACCATCTCACTTTATATTGCCCAGGCTGGAGTTCAGTGGTGCGATCACAGCTCACTGCAGCCTCAGACTCCTAGGCTCAAGCCATCCTCCTGCCTCAGTCTCCCAAGTAGCTGGGGCTGCAGGTTTGCGCTACCATGCCTGGCTTACCTGGTTTTGTTATAAGTCTCCAGCATGCATTTTTGGTTTTGTTACCGAGTTGCTCGGTGTCCTGTGGGCTGTGGGAATGTACAGGGCCCAAATGTAATGAACTCTGCGTTCATGTCTGCTGCCACCTTCTGGAGTTTCCCAGTTTGGATTTTTGAGTAAACTGTCTTAAGCAGCATTTCCTTTTAACGTCGTGAAACTAACGATAGCCATGTCCCCTAGCAAGATGCACCTTTGACACACTTTTATTCCCTCTCCTAAAAGTGGCTGAATTAATCTAAGCCTTTATTTCTAGATTATTTCATTTTTCCTTACATTGCATCTCTTTTCTCTCAGAAATTTGTCCTGGAAATTCCCACTCTGCTCTTCCCTGGCATTATCAGCAGTCGCTTAGATCTGTGGGTGTTCTGTGGGAGCTCATTTCTCACCAGCGCTCCCTGTGTGCTCTCTTCCCTCCACCTTTTCCCTCCAGGTTCGCTTGTCTGGAGATCATCCTCAGATCACTCTCGTCCCCTCCTCCCCAGTGCGTGATTTCTAAAGCCTTGCCTGTGACACTGGTCAGAGAACAGGCTCAGCGTGGTGGCACGTCACCATGAAACAGATGGACTTGGCTCAGGGTCCCCAAATGTGTCATTTCCCAGGAACTCCCCTTTCCTGCCGGGAGACTGAGCTCCGAGGACACCTTGGGCCATTCTGTAACTTCCTGGTTACCTTTAGTTATGGAAAGCCGTTGACCTCATGATTGTAAAAGGCTAATTGAGTGTTTGAATCAGACCGCGCTGGAGCTCAGCGGTGCTTCACTCCTCCCTCCTCCGACCTTGCCCTGCCTGGGGTCCTTCCGAGGCCCCAGAGGAGAGCGGGAAGCTGGAAGCCATGGGTCTTGTGCAAGGCCCTGCTTGGCTGGTCGTCAGGACTCAGGGCCCGCCTGCCCCTCTGCGCCTCTAGGGCGGGCATTGAATGCCGAATCCTCCCCGGGCTGAGCCCTCTTCTCCTGCAAGCAGAGACTGTGAAGATATTTGAGGCCGAGAGGAGGACAGAAGGGAATGGCAGGCTTTTTTGTGAATGTACCAGGCCTGCTGGCAGGCGTTTCCCAGCTTAGCTGACAGATCAGAACACAGAATCGGTCACCGCACAGGAAAGGGGTTGGACAGAATTGCACCAAGTATACAGTTGATTTACAGACATGAGAGGCTTTATTGCAAGGAAATTCATTCATTATTTTGTTATTTTTTTTTAAACAGATGGAGACAACAGGAAGGAAAGAGACCTTCCTGGTCACACTTGGGCCACAGGAGAACAGGCAGCGGCCCAGGAGGATCCAGGGTCCTGATGGTGGTTGAGAAGCTGGTTCTTAGTGATCACTCAGAAACGTCGGCCTGGCCTTGTGGGGTCAGACCTTGCATCTCAGTCAGCCCAGGGAGAAGAAGAAGATGGTCCACACCCAAGTGCAGGGAACATCGTGGCAGTCGGCTGGGTGCCTGCGTCCAGGCGAGGACACCTCCCGCATCAGGGAAACACACGTTTCTGGAGTGAGGAGGCTGAAGGCAGGGCCCAGAGGAGAGCTGAGCCATGGAAGGAGGTGTGTGCATGGATGGTGAGCTAGAGCAGGTGCAGGTGCCTCAGGGAGGATGTGTGGGACGAACTGACTCAGGGAACCATAAGAAATGCTTTCACCAAACAGGAGAAACCTGAAGGTCTGGGTCCAGAGCCTCAGATCTTACACTGGCAGCACACAGGGACACAACAGTTGGACTGGCAGCAACAGGGCTTGCAGCAGCTGGACTGGCAGCACACGGGGACACAGCAGCTGGACTGGCAGCAGCAGGGCTTGCAGCAGCTGGACTGGCAGCAGGATGATCCACAGCCTGAGGAGCAGCAACAGGGCTTACAACAGCTGGACTGGGAGCAGCCACAAGAACCACAGCCCCCCTTGGAACCCCCACAGGAGCCACAGCCCCCCTTGGAGCCCCCACAGGAGCCACAGCCCCCCTTGGAGCCCCCACAGGAGCCACAGCTGGTGCAGGAACAGGCTGGCACCCAGGAGCACACGGGCTTGCAGCAGCAGACAGGCACATAACATCTGGAGCCACATCCCCCACAGCTGGAGCTGCAGCCCCCACAGCCAGAGCCACAGCCCCCACGGCCGGAGCCACAGCCCCCACAGCCAGAGCCACAACCCCCACAGCTGGAGCCACAGCCCCCACAGCCGGAGCCACAGCCTCTGGAGCAGCCACAGCAGCCCATGGTTCTGGTGGATTGAGGGTGGAGCAGGTAGAGGAGCAGGTGAGAGGGAGGTGCAGGTGTGGAGCTCCCTGAGCCTGGGCTCTTTATATACCTGTCCAGATGTCAGGCATGACACAGGGTCCCTTTCTTGTGACTGTTTACACTATTTTTCCAGAGCTCTATTTTTTTCCTCTTTGCTAGTGACTTCCTTCTGGCTCAGTTGAGCATCTACTTTCTTTGTTTTCTAAATTTGTCTTTTTCCCCATTTGTTTTGGCCCCTACAATTAAAACCTCAGCTCCAGGCTGTCTGGTTCTTCCTGCAAAGCTCCAGGGTGCTGGTCACCTGCTCTCTGCTGACCACATGTGACCAATGGGCAACAGCCTCTGCCCACGTGCTCTAATCTTTCCTGTGTTGACTCCCTCAATAATATTAATTTTACATTTTTAGATTTCAAAATTATCCACGATCTTTATACTCATGCCAGTCTCAGCTTTCCGGGTGTGTTAGACCATTCTTTGCATTGCTCTAAAGAAATACTTGAGGCTGGGTAATTTATAAAGGAAAGAGGTTAGAATGGCTCATGGTTCTGCAGGCTGCACAAGCATGGCACCCACCTCTGCTCAGCTTCTGGGGAGGCCCTCAGGGAGTTTTCCTCACGGTGGAAGGCGAAGCAGGAACAGGCACACCACATGGTGAGAGTGGGAGCAAGGGGTGAGGAGGAGCCACACACTTGTGAACAACCAGATCTGAGTGAACACACTCATCGCCAAGGGGGTGGCACTAAGTCACTCATGAGGGATCCACCCCCATGACCCAGACACCTCCCTGCAGGCCCCTCCTTCAACACTGGCCAACAACTATATGAAAAAATGCTCCACATCACTAACTATTCGGGGAATGTAAATCGAAACCACCACGAGATACCATCTCATATCAGTCAGAATGGCTTTTGATAAAAAGTAAAAAACAAAACAAAACAAAAAAACCTAAAATCAGATGCTGGCAAAGCTTGAGAGAGAAGGGAACACTTGTACACTGTCGGTGGGAATGTAAATGAATTCAGCCACCACGGAGAGCAGTTTGGAGATTTCTCAAAGAGCTAAGAATTGAACTACTATTTGACCCAGCAATCTCATGATTGGGTATATACCCAAAGGAAAATAAATCAATCTACCAAAAAGACACATGCATCCATATGTTAATTGCAGTGCTATTCACAAAAGCAAAGATGTGGAATCAACCCAGGTGCCCATCAATGGTGGATTGGATAAAGAAAATGTGGTACATATACACCATGGAATACTACACAGCTGCAAAAAAGAATGAAGTCATATCTTTTGCAGCAGTATGGATGAAGCTGGAGGCCGTTATCCTAAGGGAACTAATGCAGAAGCAGAAAACCAAATACCACATATTCTCACTTATAAGTGAGAGCTAAACTTTGAGTCCACATGGACATAAAGATGAAAACCATAGACACTGGGGAACAAGAGGAGGGAGGAAGGGAGGGAGGGGGCAAAGGCTGAATACTGGGGAACAAGAGGAGAGAGCAAGGGGGCAAGGACTGAAAAACTACTGGGTACCACAGTCACTATTTTGGTGATGGATTCATTCATACTCCAAACCTCAGCATCACACAATATACCCATGTGAAAAACCTGCACATGTACTGCCTGATTCTAAAATAAAAGTTGAAGAAAAAGTTCTTTATATACTCTAGATACTAGATGCTTATCAGATATCTGATTTGTAAATCTTTTCTTCCTTTATTATGTAGACTGTTCTTTCACTTTGTTGATAGCGTCCTTTGGTGCAAAAATATTTAACTTTTGATGGCATCCAATGTATTTGTATTTCTCTTTTGTTGCTGGTGCTTTTGGTGTCCTATCTATGAATCCACACCGAATCCAAGGTCATGTTTTCTTTTAATAGTTTTATAGATTTGACTCTTAAATGTAGGCCTTTTGACCCATTTTAAATTAATTAGTGTATGTGGTGTGAAGTAGGGGTCCAGCTCATTCCTGTGCATGTGGATGTCTAGTTTCCCAGCATCATTTGTTGAAGTACTGCTCTTCCTCCATTGAATGATCTGGCACCCTGTCAAAAATCAGTTGGTCATCTACATGAGGGTTTATTTCTGGCTCTCAATTCTATTCCACTGGTTTATACATTTATTCTAACAACAGTGCTAAACTGCCCTGATGACTGCAGCTTTGTAGTAAGTTTTCAAATTGGCAAGTGTGAGCCCTCCAACATTGTTCTTCTTTTTAACCTTGTTTTAGCTATTCCGGGTCCCTTGAGATTCCACATGAACTTTAAAATCAGCCTGTGAATTTCTACAAAGAAGCCAGCTGCTTTCCTGATAGAGATTGCATAGACTCTGTAGATCAATTTTGGGGGTATTGCCATCTGAAAAATGTTAAGTCTCCTGATACATGAACATCAGTCTGCTTTTGGGCTGCCATAACAAAATACCACGGATTTGGTGGCCCAACAACAGGCATTTATTTTCTCACAATTCAGAAGTCCAAGATCGGGTGCAAGCAACTTTAGTTTCTGGTGAGGGCTCTCTCCTTTGGTTGCAGATGGCCGCTTTCCCACTCTTTGCTCACATGGCCTTTCCTTTGTGTGTGGAGAGAGAAAGAGTTGGAGGGAGGAAGAGAGAGAGAGAGAGAGAGAGAGAGAGAGAGAGAGAGAAAGAGAGAGTGAGACAGAGGCAAATGCTCCCTGGTGTCTCTTCTTATGAAGATGCAAATCCTGTGGAAGCCCTTATGACCTTACGTAACCTTAATTTCTTCCTTGGAGAACTCGTCTCCATATACAACCACAATGGGAGTGATGGATTCAACATATGAATTTGAAAGAACATGAATATTCAGTCCACAACAAATCTGGGATGTTTTAGATCTTCTTTAGTTTCTTTCAACAGTGTTTTGTCACTTTCAGAGTTGCAAGTGAGTAGAAATACAATTGATTTTTATATATTGGTCCTGTATTCTGAAAACTTGCTGGATTCATTTATTAGCTCTATAATCTATAAAACACTGGCCGAGCACGATGGCTCATGCCTATAATCCCAGCAATTTGGGAGCCCAAGGCAGGTGGATCACATGAGGCCAAGAGTTCAAGACCAGCCAGGCCAACATGGTGAAACCTCATCTCTACTAAAAATATAAAAACTAGCTGGGCACGGTGGTGCATGCCTGTAATCACAGCTACTTGGGAGGCTGAGGTGGAAGAATTGCTTGAACCAAGGAGGCAGAGGTTGTAGTAAGCTGACATTGTGCCACTGCACTCCAACAACCGAGCGAGACCCTGTCTCAAAAAAAAAATCTATAAAACATTAGTAGCTCTTACAAATTGACAAGTAGAATACAAACAACCAAGTTTTTAAAAAGATGATTCTCTGATAAACAAATGGAAGTGTGCAATTAAAAATATAAAAAGTAAATCAGACTCACTGGTAGTCAGATACACGGGATCTTTTCTGTGGAGTCCTAATGATGGAAAAGGAGCCAGGTTGGTTGGACCAAGGGAAAGCAAAAAGAGAAGGCAGATGAACTACAAGTCTGCCTTTCTTCCTGGTGCAGGACTTAGCCCTCCTATGCAAATAACTCACATAACTCACAATCTTCCTGCACTCAACTTATGACCTCAGTTGATAGAAAAATGCAAATTAGCTCACTGAAACCTTGGCATTATCAGCACTGCATGTAACCCTCTCCGGCACAAGCACCATCCTATAAAATCCCCAGCAAGCCTTTGTCTCCTGGCAGCCAGCTCCTCCCTTGCTGACCTGCCCTTTCCATTCTTGCAACGTATTTTCCTACATTCTCTAATAAATCTGCCTTTCCTTACCTACAACTGTCTTGGTAAATTCCTTTTCTGCCCACGCTAGTGGACTCAGTTAGTGGCTACCTGCAACATTTTATATCTACTAGACTGACCAAAATTAACAAGAATAATAACACCTATTGCTAGTGAAATTGGGGGAAAAGGTACTCATACATTGTTCTGGGGATACAATTTATTACAGTTTTTTTGAAAACAATATCTAATAAAATTAGGTCATATCAATACAATTAGTCTTGAAATTACTGAAAAAAGATTAAACGTAAACATATTCGTGTATACATATATGTGTATGATCTATTATTTACAGTGTCAGAAAAAGAATCCTAGCAAATTGAAAATTAATACTAAAAGTCATACCCACTAAAAAATAAGATTACACCTGTACCAGTGGACTTGGAGAAATTTCCTCAAGGCTCTGGCTAGTGTGAAATGTAGATGCAGAGAAATGAGCCCTGTAGGATCCTATTTTAGTAGCAAGCAATAAAAATATCTTTTACACATATGTTGAGTGTGTGCCTGGGGTACGTAGGACAGTGGCTGGGTGGAGTGGGGAAGGTGTGTAGGAATCAACAAAAAGAAAATGACAGTGAAAAGTGAGTCCAGTATGTGTGATCCTACTTGTGGAAAAACTCCACATATATGAATACGCATGCGCGTAAAGAAACATAGACTTATACCCAGATCTACTTCCTAGGAGAGGCAACCATGATACAAGTTCTAGTGAAAAGAATTAAGTTGCAAAGAAATGTGGATAATAAAATCCGAATTGGTAGCAATACCCAATTGTGTATGCGCATCTATTTTTTATACATTGTATGTGCAAGTAGGAGGGTTGGGTGGGGGTGCCTGTGGGGCCTGGCACTGGGGGTGGCTTTTATTGTTTTTTAATTGTGTATATTTAAGACATACAATTCGATGATCTCATATATGTCTACATTGTGAAATAATCACCACAGTCAAGATAATTAAGACATCTGCCACTTCACATAGCTCTCTCTCTCTCTCTCTCTTTTCTTGGTGGTGAGAACATTTAGGATCTACCCTCTCAGTACGTTTTAAGTACATAATAAACACCGTGTTGTTACCTGTGGTCACTTTGCTATGCATTGGGTCTCCAAGCCTTATTTATCTTGAAGAACTGAAGCTTTGGACCCCTGGGCCAGCACCTCCTCATTTCCCCTTTCCCTGCCTCTGGTTCCCATGCTTGCACTCTGTGCTTCTGTGAGTTTCACTCCTGTAGACTCCATGTGTGAGGGAGAGCATGTGATGTCTGTCTTTCTGTGTCTGCCTCTTTTCACCCTGTGTAATGTCCTCCAGATTTGTACATGTTGTTGTAAGTAACCAGATCTCCTTCTTTTGAAAGCTGAAGAATATTCCATATATACACGTATAGATGTATGCATATATTCCACATTTTGAAAAAGTCAAATACATAGAAACATAGAATAGAACAGTAGTTACCAGGGTCTGGAGGAAGAAGGAAAGGGGGAGGAGGAGGTCAAGGGCTTGCGGTTGTGTAGGAGAGGGAGCCGAGCAGTCCAGTGCACAGTGCAAGGACTACAGGTGACAGTCAGGTGTTGTGTGTGGCAGGTGTGCTGAGAGAAGACTCCAGGTGCTCCTACCACACACACATACACACACACTAACATCGTACACACATACTTACCCTCATACACACACATACACACACACACTCACCCTCATACACATACATACATACACACAGTCTCACACACAATTAAAAACACACCTTACACACACTCATACACACATAATCAAACACACACACTCATACACATGCATACACACTCATACACACACTTATCCAAACACACCCATGCACACACACTTATACACACACATACAAAAAGGAACCATGGAAGGTGTTGGAGATATTAATTGCAGCCATCATTTCAGTAGTGTACATGTTTACCACAGCACCATGTTGTCCACCATGAATATGTACAATAAAAATAAATGTAAAAAAAGATGTGTCTTGGGAGAGTCCTTCATAATAACACCTGAGAGGTGTCACCTTTCTTGACTTTTTCTGACCACGAAATGCACCTGCCAAGGATGGCAGACGTAGGGAACTGACCTCCTGGGCCCTCACGTGCCCAATTATCTTTGGCCCTCCGGACTGGAGCAGTTTGTAGACCTTGGAAGCAGGGCCCCAGCACTGACTGCTTGGCCTCAGGCCTCTGCCCCATCGGTGGTCAGGTGGCGGCCACGAGGGCGTGGGAGCTTGGCCATCCCTGCCTCCTGGAGTGGACGAGGTTGGCGGCTGGTCAGCCTGCTCCTGCCCCACCCTTGCCTCATGGACCCTGGTAGCATCACTGGCTCAGCCTTGCTGGGCATGCACAGGCAGCAGCACCCGCTCTGATCCAGGAGGCTTGCCCTGCTTTTGGCTAAGTTCTGGGTCCGGCCACTGCCACAGAAGGCTCAGTCCCCTGTGTGATCCTCCTGGCTGCTGCTGGGTGCCCATGGCGCCCCTGATGCCCTTCCCTTGACAGGGCTTGGGTTAGCATCAGGCCAGGACCCTCTGGGACTGGGACTTGTGCCCTGTCTGGGGTCCCTGTCCCACAGGTTGGGCCAGAGGCCACAGGGCATGCTGCTGGCTGGCCATGGCTGCAGGAACGTGACACTCACCCTTCCCTCTGGCAGCCTCCAAGTGATGAGTTTTCCAGTGGATATTAATTTCCTGAGGCCAGGAGCCATCTGGGGCTACAGGGCAGCCTGCCGTGTGCCATCCTGGCCCCTTCCACACCATGCTGGCCACTGCCTGTCATGGGGGTCGGAAGCAGGCGATCCCGTGCAGGAGGTGTCTCTGGACCTGCCTCTTCTCTTGCTCATCACAAGGCCAGGCCAAGCCTGGTGTCAGGACCCTGGTGGGGTTGCAGGGCCAGGCCTGTCCCCTGTGCCTGGGGTGTCCAGGGCACACATAGAGGAAATAGGGGCCCTGCATCCCGGCTCCTCAATGTACTGTAGAAATCATGGGCCCTCAACATTCAGGTCCGTGGGAGGCATCCACAGAGACTTCCAATGAAGGAACTGTTAGACAACTCCTGGTCTCTCCTGAGCTGGGGACAGGCCAGCCACACCCTGAGCCCCTGGGGACCCCCAGAGAGTGGCCCACTGTCTTGGGCTCTGAGGAAGTGCTCTCATTGTAGAGCACGGGGGATGTTGTGGCCCACTCCTCTCAATTTTGCTGTGAACCTAAAACTGCTCTGAAAAAAAAGTCCATTAAAGGAACTAGCATGGGCTGATGGGGAGGGGCTCATTCACCCCTGAGTTGGACACCGTGTGGCTACGAATCCACCCTCAGACCACAGAGTGGATTTCGGCAGCAACACCACACCCTAGCCTCATCCTGAGCTCAAATTTAACTCAGATAGACCAGGCCCTTTTTCTACTGTTCTTAGCCACCATTAAACCAGGTCACTCGTTCTGTGTTTTTGCAATTGGCTTTTAAACAAAAGAGCTGGGTTTGGTGTATGTTTCCTTGTCAAATATTTTTTTCCAATAACACAGGTGGAAGAAAACAGACAGGGCCTCTTTCTGGTCCAGCCATGGGGTGGAGGCCGTTTTTGACTTTCACCTTCCTCTGTGGGTCCAGCTCTCTCTTGCTTGTTGGCTCTGAGGATTATTTAGTTTTTCAACAGCTCAGTGACTTAAAAAATATATATATGCTTTAAACATAGCACTTTAAAGCTTTATTTATTTACTTACTTATGTATTTATTTATTTATTTATTTAGAGAAAGAGTCTAGCTCTGTCGCCCAGGCTGGAATGCAGTGGTGCGATCTAGGCTCGCTGCAACCTCCGCCTCCTGGGTTCAAGCAATTCTCTTTCGTCAGCCTCCCAAGTAGCTGGGATACAGGCGCCCACCACCATGCCTGGCTAATTTTTGTATTTTTAGTGGAGACGGGGTTTCACCATGTCCTTTTAGAAGTTTCAGGGTTGTGAATAGTGTCTAGTCAACCTTACTACCGAAACAGAAACTCAGAAGCAATTTCTGAAACTTCCGTGTTGTTGAGTTTTCACTTTCTTGTCGCAGTTCCGCCAGGCACTCACTGCCTACCATCCTGTGAGACGGTGGCTTCCCGAGCAGCCTCCAGCGCTCTGCTGTTACAGACGCCTGGGTCTGGGGGCTCCAGCCTTGCAGCCCACCTCCTCCTCCGCCAGCTCCTGCCTTCCCTCCCCATGAGTCGAACATGCTGGACTTTGGTCTAGGCCCTCCAGCCTCCGGAACTGGGAGAAATGGTGTCTGTTGTTCCGTCTTCCAGGCTTACTCTGTGGGTTTTGTTCTGGCAGCCCCAGCTGACAGAGGCAGCAGGGAAGGGACAGGTGGGCACCTGAATCAGAAGTCTGTGTAGGGAGGTGTCACAAGGAGGCAGGAAATAGATGTCTGTAGGAAGCCTTCCAGGAGATGCTGAGGGATTTGGCGACTTGTGGGGGAGAGAAGCCCAAGGGGCCTCCCAATTCTGTATCCTGGAAGATGGGAAAGACGGAGACGCCCCAAGCCAAGTGGATGCCACGGCTGAGTTGTGCCCCCTGGTTCATATGTTGGAGTCCTCAACGCAGTATCTCAGAATGGCACCTTATTTGAAGATAGGTCTTTACAGGGGTGATTAGTTCAAACATGGACCTAATGGAGTAGGGTGGGCCCTAGTCTAATCTGTGTCCTTATGCAAAGAGATGAGGACGCAGACACACACAGAGGGATGAGTACGTGAGGATATAGGGATGGCGGCATCAGTAAGCCACGGAGGGAGGCCTCAGGAGGACCCGGCCCTGAGGCACCTCGATGGCGGATTCCGGACTCCAGACTGTGAGACAATCCACTCCTGTTGCTTAAGCCACACGGTTTGTGGAGCAGCCCTAGCAAACTCACACAGCAGGGTACGGGGGGTTCCCAAATGCCTGGGAGTGCAACTCTGTGGAAAGTGTACATTTCTCTAATCACACAGAAGTTGAAACAAAAGAATCACAATGCAAACTCGTGGGAGGTGCAGATCGTATTTATTTAGAAGATCTAGCCTAGGCACTTACAAGGCGAAGCCCTGGGGAAAGAAACAGGGCCAGGTCGGAGGTAGAAGAGGAGACTGGGCGCCCCTCCTCCTCAGGAGAGGATCCTGGGGTCTCCAATAATTCCGAGTCCTCTAGGTCAACTCCAAAAGCAATCGGAGCGGTGGCAGCTCAGGCAGGATGAAGACGAAGCGGGGAGGAGCCAGGAGGTTGCGGGGACCGGGGAGAGGCGGCAGCAGGTCGGAGGATTCCAGTGTCAGCGTGTTTCCAGCAGGCTCACAGGAGGGGCCCAGGGATGTGGGATCTTGAAGCCCTGAGAAGGTTGAAGTGGTGGGGTCAGGAAAGGAAGACGGGATTCCGGGAGGGTTGATGGGCAGGACCCAGCATGCCAGAAGCCCTCATGACCTCAGAGGCTGAGCGGCTGAGTACTGAGCCCTGGACGCTAGGCTGCCTTAGTCCAGAGGAGGACAGATTCAGAGACGTGCTTCAGGAATTCAGGACACAGCTGCAGTCATTCCTGGAGAGCCCGGATCTGTAGGACCCACTGAGGTTTGTGGGCAGAGCCTCAGATCTTGCACTGGCAGCAAATTGGGACACAGCAGCTGGACTGGGAGGAGCAGGGCTTGCAGCAGCTGGACTGGCAGCAGGATGACCCACAGCCTGAGGAGCAGCAGCAGGGCTTACAGCAGCTGGACTGGGAACAGCAGGGTTTGCAGCAGCTGGACTGGCAGCAGGATGACCCACAGCCTGAGGAGCAGCAGCAGGGCTTACAGCAGCTGGACTGGGAACAGCAGGGCTTACAGCAGCTGGACTGGGAGCAGCTGGGCTTGCAGCAGCTGGACTGGCAGCAGGATGACCCACAGCCTGAGGAGCAGCAGCAGGGCTTATAGCAGCTGCACTGGGAGCAGCCACAAGAACCGCAGCCCCCCTTGGAGCCCCCACGAAATCCACAGACCCCCTTGGAACCCCCACAGGAGCCACAGCTGGAGGAGCAGCAGACGGGCACACAGCAGCTGGAGCCACAGCCCCCCTTGGAGCCTCCACAGGAGCCACAGCCCCCCTTGCAGCCCCCACAAGAGCCACAGACCCCCTTGGAGCCCCCACAGGAGCCACAGCTGGAGCAGGAACAGGCTGGCACACAGCAGCACACGGGCTTGCAGCAGCAGACAGGTACACAGCAGCCGGAGCCACAGCCCCCATAGCCGGAGCCACAGCCCCCACAGCTGGAGCCACAGCCCCCACAGCTGGAGCCACAGCCTCCAGAGCAGCCAGAGCAGCCCATGGTTCTGGTGGGTTGAGGGTGGAGCAGGTAGAGGAGCAGGTGAGAGGGAGGTGTGCAGGTTTGGAGTTCTCTGAGCCCGGGCTCTTTATATTCCTGCCCAGGTGTTTATACTGAACACGTGAATACTTCTGTTGTTGTTTCTGCTATTTCACATGCACAAGTGTTATTTTTAATCTCTCCACAATCCCATGAGCCACCATCAGCTCAAGCCAAGCTGTCCTTTCCTTGGTTTCTAAATTTGGCCTCTTCCTCATAGGTGTTTCCCTTTGTTAGAAGACACTGGGCTCCCTCTCCAGTGGGTGTCCCAGGAGCCTGGGAGGCGGTGGTTGCTTGGCCGAAGGGTGGACCATTGTCCTTGGTGCTCAGGGCTCTCCTCAGCGATGCAGACCCTCCACCCCCTGGCATTGGTGTTTATATCAAGGATGGTCATTTGGTAAAAAATAAAATAAAATAAAAATTAAAAAAATAAGCTGAAAGAAAGGCTGTCTATAGGTTCCACCGCTTAAAAACTTCAAGTATAAATATTTTGTCAAATCTGTAAAACAAAGTTTTGAAGAGCATGGATTTGAGTGTGGCCCTGGTTCTCCTTTGTCTTTCTTACCTCTTCCTCCTGCGGTTTGGCTCACTCCTCCAGACACGGATTAGACCCACGTTCCCTTCAGGCAAGCTGGGCTCACAGAGGGAACAGAGGAACAGGACCCTTTCTAATGCTTTTGAGTTTTCCTCAATTAATTCTTTGTAAAAATTCTACAAATCAATGGATATTCTTCAAGTTTATTCTTCTTGAAGGCTACAAAAATTTTGATTAGCCAACCTCTCTAACACACTTTTATTTTCTAAAAGATTAATTTTAATATTTTTTTTTTGAGAAGGAGTATCGCTCTTGTCACCAGGGCTAAAGTGCAGTGACGCAATCTCGGCTCACTGCAATCTCTGCCTCCTGGGTTCAAGCAATTTTCCTGCCTCAGCCTCCCCAGTAGCTGGAATTACAGGCGCCCACCACCAGGCCTGGCTAATTTTTTTGTATTTTTAGTGAAGACAGAGTTTCACCATGTTGGGCAGGCTGGTTTCGAACTCCTGACCTCAGGTGAACCACCCGCCTCAGTCTCCCAAAGTGCTGGGATTACAGGTGTGAGCCACTGCACCCAGCCAAATTTTAATTTTTTATTAAGGTAAAATTTACATGCAGTGAAAAAAAATTTTTTTTCTGAGTCTCCCTCTGTCACCCAGGCTGGAGTGCAGTGATGCAATTTCAGCTCACTACAACCTCTGCCTCCCGAGTTCAAGCAATTCTCCTGCCTCAGCCTCCCAAGTAGCTGGGATTACAGGCACCCACCACCACACCCAGCTAATTTTGTATTTTTAGTAGAGACGGGGTTTCACTATGTTCGCCAGGCTGGTCTCGAACCCCTGACCTCAGGTGATCCACCTGCCTTGGCCTCCCAAAGTGTTGGGATTACAGGCATGAGCCACCAGGCTTGGGCTGCATTTTTTTTTTTTTTTTTTTTGAGACGGGGTCGCATTCTGTCGCCCGGGCTGGAGGGCAGTGGTGTGATCCTAGCTCACTGCAGCCTTGGTCTCCTGGGCTCTGCACATATTTTGAGTGTACAATTCCATGAGTTCCGCTAAACATGTACTCGTGTGCCCATCACTCCAACCATGACCAACTGCTTCACCCCCAGAAGGTTCCCTTTCGCCGCCTTCCCTTCCTGCCCATCGCTCCAGGCACAGCTCTGCTGACCAGTTGTGCCTGTTGTTGAATGTTGCAAAAATGAAATCATTAAAAATGTACTCTGGTTTCTTTCCCTCACGATGTTATTCTGTGTGTCAATGATTTGCTCTTCTTCTTTTTTTTTTTTTTTTTTTTTTTTTGAGACTGGGTCTTGCTCTGTCACCCAGGCTGGAGTGCAGAGTGGTGCGCTCATGGCTCACTGCAGCCTCGACCTCCTGGGCTCAAGCGATCCACCTGCCCCAGCCTCCCAATGTGCTGGGATTACAGGCATGAGCCACCACGCCTGGCCTTCTTCTTCTTTTGTAATCACCGCATAGTGTTTCTGTAGCAGGGCGAGCCGCAGACAAGAACCCCTCAGACACTGAATTGTAGAAGGAAAGGGCTTTATTCAGCTGGGAGCATTGGCAGACTCAGGTCTCCAAAAACCAAGCTCCCCAAGTGAGCAATTCCTGTCCCTTTTAAGGGCTTACAACTCTAAGGGGGTCTGTGTGAGAGGGTCGTGATCGATTGAGCAAGCAGGGGGTACGTGACTGGGGGCTGCATGCACCGGCAATCAGAACGGAACAGGACAGGACAGGGATTTTCACAATGCTTTTCCATACAATGTCTGGAATCTATAGATAATATAACCGATTAGGTCAGGGGTCAATCTTTAACTACCAGGCCCAGGGTGTGGCACCGGGCTGTCTGCCTGTGGATTTAGTTTTTACTTCTTTTTTCTTTGGAGACAGAAATTGGGCATAAGAAAATATGAGGGGTGGTGCCCCCCTTATTCCATGTAAAAATATTCTCCACTGCGTTCCCCCGTTCTCACGTTCATAGATATTTGAATCGTTCACAGTTTGGGGCGATGATGAATAACACATAATCATGCCTTCCAGTCCTTCCGTATTCATGTTTTTAGTTTTAATTTTTTGGTCAAATATTGAGGACTGGCCTTGCTAGACCATAGAGTAGTGTATGCTTAACTTGCTAAGAAACAGACAGCTTTCCAAATGCTCATGCTGCTTTCCCCCTCCCCAGCAATGCCTGAGAGTGTCCGCTGCCCCAGGCCTGTCAGTACCAGCCAGCGGCTTTTCAAATGTGAGGCATCGGATGGGTGTAAAATCGCATCTCGTGTGCATTTTGACCTGTGTTTCTCTGATGACTAATGTTCGCAAGGATTCTTTCTTGCACTTATTGGACATTTGCACATCTTTCTTGTTAAAAAGTTTTGCTAAAATTGTTTGCCCATTTTATTGTGATTTTTTTTGTCTTTTTGTTATTGAGTTGTTGGAACTCTTCATAAATTCTATATCAAGAATGAATATGTGAAGTGCTTTGCCATATGTACGTATATATATTTACATATATATTTCATATACATGTGTATATGTGTGTATATAATATATATATGTAGAATATATATATTGTATATAATTTTCTAGTATTTGACTTGCCTTATTGTTATCTGAACTTTTTATATGGAAATGTTTTTGATTTTGAAGTCCACGTTAACATTTGTTTTGACAGCTAGTGCTTTCTTGTGACCTCTTTGAAAACCCTTTTTCCTAGCATTTCCTTTAGAAGCATTAGAGTTTTAGTTTCTATATTTAGTTCTATGATGGATCTCAAGCTAATTTTTGCGTGTAATGTGAGGTAGGAGTTGAGATCCATTTTTTCACATTTTCATCCAATTGTTTCAGCAGCATTTGATAAAAAGACCTTCCTGGCCAGGCGCAGTGGCTCACGCCTGGAATCCCAGCACTTTGGGAGGCCAAGGAGGGCAGATCACCTGAGGTCAGGAGTGCAAGACCAGCCTGGCCAACATGGCAAAACCCTGTCTCTACCAAAAATACAAAAATTAGCCAGACATGGTGGGGGGCGCCTGTAATCCCAGCTACTCAGGGGACTGAGGCAGGAGAATCGCTTTAACCCGGGAGGTAGAGGCTGCGGTGAGCCGAGACTGCAGCACTGCGCTCCAGCCTGGGTGACAGAGTGAGACTCTGTCTCGATATAAACAAACAAACAAACAAACAAACCGTGCTTATCCCACTGAAATCACTGGTGTTTTTAATGAGAATCAGCCGACACGATGGCGAGTTTCTTCCTGTGTCCCGCTCCGCAGGTCTGTATGCCGCTTCCTAATGCAAACACAGCGTCACTGTGACATTATGGGAGGTTTTGAAGTTAAGTATTGTGAGACTCCAACTTCATTCTTCTTTTTAAAGATTGTTTTGTTTGTTTCCAATTCCTTTACTTCTCCAGCTAAATTTTAGAACCAACTTGATCATCTCAAATACCAAAAAACCCGTTGCTGTTGCAATAGACAGCTGAGGCACGGGAAAGACCCTGGAGAGAGCCCCTGTGCCATGTGGGCAATTGGAGAAGGCTGAAGGCTGAAGCTGGAGTTCTAAGACTGGGAAATGCCTGCTCACTCCAGCCCCCACCCCCATCACCAGACTATGGAGCCCGTGGGAACAAAGGTAACTGCACCCACCAAGTCTTTGTCTTTCCTCTTTTCTTTTCTTTCTTTCTTTTTTTTTTTTTTTTTGAGACGGAGTCTCGCTCTGTCACCCAGGCTGGATGCAGTGGCCCGATCTCGGCTCACTGCAAGCTCCGCCTCCCGGGTTCACGCCATTCTCCTGCCTCAGCCTCTCTGAGTAGCTGGGACTATAGGCGCCCGCCACCACGCCCTGCTAATTTTTTTTTTTTTTTTTTTGTATTTTTAGTAGAGACGGGGTTTCACCGTGGTCTCGATCTCCTGACCTCGTGATCTGCCCGCCTCGGCCTCCCAAAGTGCTGGGATTACAAGTGTGAGCCACTGCGCCCGACCTGTCTTTCCTCTTTTATAAAATGCCTGCTGATGTCTATGAGTTGGTTCCTCTGTTTAGTTGTTTTCTTTGCTTGCTAATTGGTGTGAGCTCTTTGGGTTTTCAAATGCTGAGCCACGGTCAGCTTTATTTTATTTTATTTTATTATTATTATACTTTAAGTTTTAGGGTACATGTGCACAACGGGCAGGTTTGTTACATATGTATCCATGTGCCATGTTGGTGTGCTGCTCCCATTACTCGTCATTTACTCAGCAAACTATCGTGTGGTCAGCTTTTATGTTGCAAGATCCTCCTTGGTTCATCTTTTCATTCTCGCGAGGCCTTCCCTTGTTAAATGAGAATCCTTGAGTGTTTAATTTTAACTTATCAATTCACCCACCTCTTCCTTTAGAATTAGAGTATTTGGGGCCTTATTTAGGAAATACTTCTCTGAGATCATGATATATTTTTCTGTAAAAGTTGAAAACTTTTGTCATCTGTTTTAAAATCTTGAATCAGGTATATGTGATGGTTAATTTTATGTGTCAATTTGGCTGGATCCCAGGGTGCCCGGATATTTGGCTGAATGTTATTTCTTGGTGGTCGGTGAGGGCAGTTTCTGGATGAGACCAGCATTGGGATCAGTGGACTCAGGAAAGCAGACGCCCTCCCCAATGTGGGTGGCTTCCTCTGATCCACTGAGGGCCCGAATAGATCAAAACGTGGAGGAAGTCCCTTTCTGCCTGACCGCTCCAGCTGGCACATCGGTCTCCTGCCCTCGGACTTACACTCACACCGTCAGCTACCTGGTTCTCGGGCCTTTGGACTTGAACAGAATGACCCCGCCGGCTTTCCTAGGTCTTCAGCTTACAGACAGCAGATCATGGAGCTGCTCAGCCTCCAGAATCGCATGGGCCAATTCTTCATAATCATCTGTGTATCTGTGTATCTCTCTCTGTGTGTATGTATGTATGTATCTATCTATCTATCTATCTATCTATCTATCTATCTATCTATCTATCTATGTAACTATGTAGCTATGTATCTATTTATCTATGCATGTATCTATCATCTATGTATCTATATATGTATCTATCCATCTATGTATCTATCTTTGTATCTATGTATCCATGTATCTATCTGTGTATCTATGTAAGTATGTATCTATCTATGTAGCTATCTAACTATGTATCTGTCTATGTAGCTATCTATCTACCTATCATCTATTTATTTATGTATGTATCTACCTATGTATGTATCTATGTGTCTATGTATCTATCTATCATCTATGTATCTCTATATATATCCATCTATGTATCTATATGTCTATTATCTATCTTTGTATCTATCTATCCATTTATGTATCTATTATCTATGTATGTATGCATCTATCTATCTATCTAATCTACCTATGTACCTAATCTCCCACTGGTTCTGTGTCTCTGGAGAACCCTGATTAATGCAGTATAGATTTTTGTGTATTCGTGTGGAAACTGCCTTTCTCGGCATGTTTTCTTTTCCAGCCCCTCGGTCACCCAGTGTCAGTCAGGATGGCCTGGGTTGTGCTGCAGCAACAAACCACACCAAGATCTCAGTAGCTGAGTCAACCCACACCTCCCACCACCACAAGACACCTGGGGCTCTGCCTCTTATTCCATAACCCAGGCAGCCAGTTGCTGTGACAGAGGAAAAGAAAAATATACTATTCATAATAGAATTCAGCAGTATATTAAAAAGAATTTTGGCTTACAGGCATGGTGGCTCATGCCTGTAATCTCAACACTGTAAGAGGCCAAGTCGGGAGGATCACTTGAGTCCAGGATTTTGAGACCAGTCTAGGCAACTTAGGGAGACCCCATCTCTACAAAAAAAAAAAAAAAGGCATACTGATGTGCACCTGTGGTCCCAGCTACTTGGGAGGCTGAGTTGGGAGGATCACTTGAGCCTGGAAGATCAAGGGGACGGTGAGCCATTATTGCACCACTGCACTCCAGCCTGGGCAACAAAGTGAGAACCTGTCTAAAAATAATAGTAAATAAATAATAAATAAAATAACTTTGCACCCTAACCAAAATATTTACAAACCACATATCTGACAAAGGACTGGAATATACAAATCTAGACCATGTAAAGAACTCTCAAAACACAACAGCAAATCATACATAAACACAAAAACAATCCGATCCAAAAATGGGCAAAAGACTTGAAGAGACAATTCTCTGAAGAGGACGTACAGTGGCAAATAAGGATGTGAGAGGAAGTTTGACATCCTCAGACTTTAGGAAAGACAAACTAACCAGTAATGCGATATCATGATGCCCCTATGAGAATGGCTTAACAAAAAAATAGCAGCGACACCAAATGCTGGCAAAAGGCAGAGAAGCTGGGCCACTCGTATGTTGATGGTGGGAATGCAAAATGGTACAGCCACTCTGGAAGATAGGTTGGCAGCTTATGAAAAAAACTAACCACACAACCGCCATTCAACACAGCAATCTCACTCCTGGGCATTTATCCCAGAGACATGTGCACACGGAAAACCTGTCCACAAATGTTAATAGGAGGCTTATTCATGATCACCAAATGCTGGAGACACCCACATGTCCCTTGATGGGTGAAGGGGAAACACACTGGTTCACCTCTGCCAGGGGACACGTCTCAGCCATGAAATGGCAGGAATGACAGACGCTCGATGACCCAGATGAATCTCCAGAGAATCATGCTGGGTAGGAAAAGCCAGTCTTAAAAGGTTACACACTGTGTGTTTCCATTCATGGAGCATTCTCGAAATGACAAAATTACAGAAATGGAGAACAGGAGGGAAATGTGGGGGCTGCATCAGGGCAACGCGTGGGGTCCTTGCTAGAGAAATGATCTGTATTGTGACCGTGCCAAGGTCAATATCACTGTGTTGTTATGTTACCTGCATTCCAGATGCTGTCACCGGGGACATGGGAAAGGGTACATGAGATCCCCTTTGTGTCTTCTTACGAGTAACTTCTTACGAGTAACTTCTTATGAGTAACTGCAGGTGAATCTACAATCACCCGAATATAAAAAGTTAAATTGAAAAAAGAGTGCATACCTCACAGATACTCAGGGAGTCATGTTTATAAAGTGTGTGGGAGAGTAGCTGGAATGCACGAGGTGCTGTCAATATCGGGTGGTGGCAGTGAAGGCGGTCATTGGATAAATCACCAATTAGGCAATTGGCGAATCAGATTCCAAATACTTTTCCAAGGTAGAACCTTGGAGATTTGCTGTTGGATTGGATGTGGAGGGTGGAAGAGGAGTCAAGAGGATGCCCAGGCTTCTATCCTGAGCCCTGGGAAGGATGGAGCTGCTGTGAACTACAATGGGGAAGGCTGGGAAGGCGTTGGTTCCAGGGGAAGGAGGAGGAGTTCAGTCCGGGATGTGCTTAGTTTGAAAGGCCAGATGTCCATGAGAAGCAGGCACCTGGGCCTGTGAGTGTGGAACCTAGAGGGGAAGGTGTTGTGAGAGACATGGAGGAGGTCGCAGGTGAGATAGAGACCCCCCGGCTGAACCTGGCACCGCCCAGTGCTCAGGGCCTGGAGGAGGAGAATTAAGCAATGGAGACTGAGGTGGAGTGGCTGGTGGCACAGAAAGGAAGCCAGGGCTCTGCACTGGGCTGGCTCTGTCCCTACATAGATAGATAGATAGATAGATAGGTACATAGATACATAGATACACACATGGATACATACATGGATACATAGATACGTAGCTAGCTAGCTAGATACAGACATACATACATACACACATACATACATAGATGGATACATAGATACATAGATAGATACATACATACATAGATGGATACATAGATAGGTACTTACATACATACATAGATGGATATAGAGATACGTAGATGATCGATAGATACGTAAATAGATACATAGATACATACGTACATGCATACATAGATGGATACATAGATACATAGATAGGTACTTACATACTTACATAGATGGATACAGAGATACCTAGATGATCGATAGATACATAGATAAATAGATACATAGATAGATACATAGATGATTCTGAAGAATTGGACCCTGCAATTATGGAAGTTGAGCAGCTCCACAATCTGCTGTCTGTAAGCTGAAGGTGTCCCCTGCTTGTTTCCAGACTGAGTCTGGTTCCCCGATCACTCTGACCAGAGATTCATGCTAAGATGCTCCCTCGGTGACCACTCCACAACCAGCCAACATCTCTAGGCTCCATACAGGGTCTCCCTGTGCTCATTGTAAATCATCAGGCCTTCAAAATATTCACTAGTGGCAGTGGTGCATGCCTGTAGTACCAGCTACTCGAGAGACTGAGGCAGGAGGATCCCTTGAGCCCAGGAGTTCGAGACCAGCCTGGGCAACACAGTGAGACTCTATCTCTATTAAAAACAAGAAGAGGAAGGTAAAAAAGAAAATAATCACAAACAAGTAAACAAGCTGACAATGTCATTTATTTATTTATTTTTTATTTATTTGAGACAGGGTCTCACTCTGTCACCCAGGCTGGAGTGTAGCAGTGCAATCATAACTCACTGTAGCCTCAACCTCCCAGGCTCAAGAGATTCTTCCACCTTAGCCTCCCCATTAGCTGGGACTGCAGGTGTGCACCACCATGCCCAGCTAATTCTTTCATTTTTCTGCAGAGACGGGGTCTTGCTATGTCACCCAGGTTGGTCTTGAACTCCTGAGCTAAAGTGTTCCTTCTTCCTTAACCTCCCAAAGTACTGGGATTACAGGAGTGAGCCAAGCCCAAGCTGACTACTTCTTTTTTTTTTGAGACAGAGTCTTGCTCTGTCACCCAGGCTGGAGTGCAGTGGCACCATCTCGGCTCACTGCAAGCTCCGCCTCCTGGGTTAACACCATTCTCCTGCCTCAGCCTCCCGAGTAGCTGGGACTACAGGCGCCCACCACCACATCTGGCTAATTTTTTCTTTTTTTGTATTTTTAGCACAGATGGGGCCAAGCTGACCACTTCCAAAAGTGTTCTCCACTCAAGCAGCTCGTTTACTTAACAATATCACTTATTCCCACACACCCCCTCCCAAATGTCTTTCATGTCTTTGCAGAACCAGCTCTCTTAAATACATTTTCCACAGTCATATTTACGATGCAGATTTTAAGTAAAATTGCAATGCTTGCAAGAAAAGAAACGTAGGATTCTGTGATGTCACTGAAAGTGACATTGGAGAACATCTGCTGGGAGCCAGGCAAGGCCACCACGGTGAAGATCAGGCGGTTCACCCTGAAAGAGAAGCTGGTCAAGGAGGCAAGATAGAGGCTTCCCAATGGGGTGAGTTGACCTCAAAGAGAGGCGTCCGTGAAGGATGAGAAGGAGCTCAGTTGTTTTTGCTACGCGACTCCCTTCAGCGTCATTCTGTCACGGCCAACTGTGAAATGAAGGATGTTGCAGCAGGCAATCCTATGATTTTATCAAAAAATTATGCATAAAATGTCCAACACGTGATTTTCTCTTTGTTGATTTCATGGAGAGTTACAACTATGTCTTAAATCTTGCTAACAATCATGTGACATCTGTTCATTATTAAGGAAGGTTTTGGGTTTCTTTCTCTTTCTCTTCTACCCCCACACCACAAGCACAGACAGCATTGGTTCTGTTGGGCCTGTTTCCAACGAATGGCTGGCGGCAGGCTCTTCTCTGGTGCCCATTACCGTGGTAGTGAGGCCATCTTTGATCTGCAGGTCACTGGGTCCTGCCTGGGCCAAACACCTCCCCCTCTTCCCTGCAGAAACCTCTTCATCACACAGCAGGACATGAATTTACCCACAGGAGCCACAGGCCAAGCAAAGAGAACGCCAAGTGAGCCATGGGGGGAGAAGTTTCCGGCGTCTTCTTCCGGACCCACTGACCCCACAGCAGCCCCTCCTGCCCCACTGGCCAGGCTGGAGGCAGCTACCAACTCCCTACCTCAGTGTGGTCTGTTCTCATGGAACCTCATCAAAGTGTACCCTTAAAAAGGGTTCCTTTTAGCCGAGCACGGTGGCTCATGCCTGTAATCCCAGGACTTTGGGAGGCTGAGGCAGGCGGATCATGAGGTCAGAAGATCGAGACCATCCTGGCTAACACGGTGAAACCTCATCTCTACTAAAAATACAGAAAAAAAAAAATTAGCCAGTCGTGGTGGTGGGCGCCTGTAGTCCCAGCTACTTGGGAGGCTGAGGTAGGAGAATGGTGTGAACCTGGGAGGCAGAGCTTGCAGTGAGCCGAGATCGTGCCACTACACTCCAGCCTGGGCAACAGAGTGAGACTCCGTCTCAAATAAAAAAAAGAAAAAAAAAAATTCCTTTCATTTGAGCTTCAATTGTTCTTTGCTGCTCAAAAGCCTTCTAAGTCTTACCATTTACCAGGCAGAACTGAGAACTCTGTAGCTCCCCAGGTTTCTCCAGGCTTTCTAGAACTTTCCTCCTGGCTGGCAAATCAGCCGGTTCTTTCGAGCTCACCCTGTTCTTGTAATGCTTTGATAAATGCAGCCACAACGACCCACGTGGGAGTGGCATTGTGTTTTCTGAACTCTTCCCTCAGGGATACACGATCTGGGACGGTCTTACCAAACACATAATAACTACCTTTCTCACCTCTAATAACTTTCCTTTCCACCCACCCTCTGACCAATAAACCAGGCCCACAATGCTATGTTTTTGTTCTGGTAGGTTTCTGGGTCAACCAGGATAGACCAATTACGCTGCTCACACGCGCCACCCCCACGTTTCAGTGACTTCACACGACACAGGCTTACTTCCTGTTCATATCCCAGGCCACTGCACGTCAGCTGGTGACTCTGCTCTGTGCTTCGTCACTCTGGGACTCAGTCGGAAGCAGCAGCCACTGCTTGGAATGTTGGTGGTCATGGTAGGAGAAGAAACGGAGAATGCAGAAGACTGCAGCAGGTGCTTCAAACTTCTTCCCACGGACGCAAGCAAATCACATGGCCACACCTGACTTAGAGAGGGCTCATGGAAGGGCCACCCTACCACCTGCCATCCAACCTGTTCCCAGAAGGAGAGGAGAACCAGGATGCCTACAAATAGCCCTAATTACCACCCCATTCTGGGCTCTGTGTGGCAATGCTGCCAGTCCTATAGATAGGTTTTTGCCTAAATGAGCTTAAGCTTTTTTTTTTTTTTTACTCCAACATATGCATTTAAGGCTATAAATTTTTCTCTAAGCACTGATTTGGCTGCATGCAGTAAATTTGATAGCCCCATTATTTCATTAGGGGTTACAAAATGGTTAGCTTCTAATTCTACGATTTCTTCTTTATTTATAAACTGGAATACTTCCTCTAATTTTTTGGTTACCGTAAGATAGAGTTTCTCTATCAGAGATAGAATAAGTGCCTGATTATTTTCCTTTATATAGTCATCTTCGAAATAATGACTTGATTCCTAGAATCCTCTAAAGGCAACTAAATTTTACAGTTTGCATAGTATCTCTATTATTATTTGTGTATGTATGTGTGTGTGTATGATTACTCACTCCTAGTTTAAACATATTTGATGTGTATCAGTCCAGTTAAGAAATTGGTGTTCAGATTGTTTCAAGTCTGTCTATACAGAGTTTCTCCAGGTTTGACTCTTACCTTTTTTTTTTTTCTTTTTTTGAGACGGACGAGAGGCAGCGGAGACAGCCAGCCCCATCCTAGCACCTTCCAGCAACATCACCATCAGACTCACGGAGTCCGAAATATAACAAGAATAAGAAAACAATAGCCATAGCCATAGTAATGACACCGAACAACAGAGAAATCAGCAAGATATGTGTTTCAGTTTGTCGGCATGGTATTTTTATTAGTTTGCAACTTTCTGTTTAAGATAAAGCAGTGTGATCCTGGTTAACATGGTGAAACCCTGTCTCTACTAATAATAATAAAAAAAAAATTAGCCGGGCGTGGTGGCGGGCACCTGTAGTCCCAGCTACTGGGGAGGCTGAGGCAGGAGAATGGAGTGAACCCGGGAGGCGGAGCTTGCAGTGAGCCGAGATGGTGCCACTGCACTCCAGCCTGGGTGACAGTGCGAGACTCCATCTCAAAAAAAAAAAAAAAAAAAAAGATACAGCAGAGTGTTGGACATGCAAAGCCACTCCAAGGAAGCCTCTTAAACGCCCACCTTGTAGCAGGTGGGACGCTTATGCCCAGCTGCTCCAGCTGGAAAAGACAGGACTGCAAGTGGGTTCAGGAGCTCAGGCCTCTGAAAAGATGAGCAAAGGCGAGGCTAGTGGGTGAGGGGTGATTCAGCTGCAATTGCAGTTGACTTGGGGAGAGAATTTGTTAGGAGAGACAATGGACATTAATTAGGGTGGACTCTTCTTAGGAAAAGGCAGCCAGATATGGCATCGTTCTACAGCAGGGAATGGACCCTGAGCAATGATTTGGGGCTCAACAATGAAGGACAGGTCACAGCTTTGGAAGACAGGATTAGCAGGACTCACATGAGGCCTGAGTCCAGAGCCTCAGATCTTACACTGGCAGCACACAGGGACACAGCAACTAGACTGGGAGCAGCAGGGATTGCAGCAACTGGACTGGCAGCAGGATGACCCACAACCTGAGGAGGAGCAGCAGGGCTTACAGCAGCTGGACTGGCAGCAGTAGGGCTTGCAGCAGCTGGACTGGCAGCAGGATGACCCACAACCTGAGGAGGAGCAGCAGGGCTTACAGCAGCTGGACTGGCAGCAGGATGACCCACAGCCTGAAGAGCAGCAGCAGGGCTTACAGCAGCTGCACTGGGAGCAGCCACAAGAGCCACAGCCTCCTTTGGAGCCCCCACAGGAGCCACAGCCCCCCTTGGAACCCCCACAGGAGCCACAGCCCCCCTTGGAGCCCCCACAGGAGCCACAGCCCCCCTTGGACCCCCCACAGGAGACACAGCCCCCCTTGGAACCCCCACAGGAGCCACAGCCCCCCTTGGAACCCCCACAGGAGACACAGCCCCCCTTGGAGCCCCCACAGGAGCCACAGCCCCCCTTGGAACCCCCACAGGAGCCACAGCCCCCCTTGGAGCCCCCACAGGAGCCACAGCCCCCCTTGGAACCCCCACAGGAGACACAGCCCCCCTTGGAACCCCCACAAGAGCCATAGCCCCCCTTGGAGCCCCCACAGGAGCCACAGCTGGAGCAGGAACAGGCTGGCACACAGCAGCACACAGGTTTGCAGCAGCAGATGGGCACACAGCAGCTGGAGCCACAGCCCCCACAGCCGGAGCCACAGCCCCCACAGCCGGAACCACAGCCCCCACAGCCAGAGCCACAGCCCCCACAGCCGGAGCCACAGCCCCCACAGCCGGAGCCACAGCCTCCAGAGCAGCCACAGCAGCCCATGGTTCTGGTGGATTGAGGGTGGAGCAGGTAGAGGAGCAGATGAGATGGAGGTGCAGGTGTGGAGCCCCCTGAGCCTGGACCCCCTTATATCCCTGGGTAGGGTTGCTCTGAGACCTTGGTCACTCCATCATTCCCAGCACTTCCTGGGTATGTGATTATTTGTTTGCTGGACTTCGGGTTCTCATTGGCCTGATCCAACACCCACCTGCTTATGTTTCTAAATGTAGCCACTTCCTCCTTGGAACTGGACCTTGTACTGAACTGATCACCTGCCTTCTGTTTTCCTCATGTGATGGGCAGAGGATGGGTTTTCTACAAAGATCATTTTGGTTGTTTTCTTCCCATCTTTTCTTCCCACCTATGGCATTATATTTTTCTTTGAAACTGTGAACTTTGTGTGAAGAGAATTTTTTAAAAACTAAGCTTTCATCCATATAATTAAAGAGGCTAATTGAGGAACCAACGTTGTATCTTGGTTCTGTCTTAACACATTGGTGCACTGCAGTGAATCTCTCCTCCGCCAGCCTCAGGTCGTGGGGTGCTCAGGACTCCTGGCTGCTGCATACACAGCCTCACGTGGTGAGTATTGTTTATGTTAAAAATCTCAGGAATTTCATGGGTGGATGGGGGATCTCATTTATCATCCTGTTGTTAATCTCTTCAATTAACTATTAGTGAGGGTGATTCTTTTACTCCAATATAAATTATATACTTTTTTATTGGCCAGGCACAGTGGCTCACACCTATAATCCCAGCACTTTGGGAGACCAAGGTGGGCGAATCACGAGGTCAGGAGATCGAGAACATCCTGGCTAACATGGTGAAACCCCGTCTCTACTAAAAGTACAAAAAGTTAGCCGGGCGTGGTGGCGGGCGCCTGTAGTTCCAGCTACTCAGGAGGCTGAGGCAGGAGAATGGTGTGAACCTGGGAGGTGGAGCTTGCAGTGAGCCGAGATCATGCCACTGCACTCCAGCCTGGGCGACAGAGCAAGACTCCGTCTCAAAAAAAAAAAAAAAAAAATTTATACCTTTTTGACTTCTCATTACTGCTTTAAAAGTTATTTGGATATTGAGAGAACAAATCCCTTGTGTTCAAACAGTGTACTTTGTTTTTCCACAGGCATGTACTTGAGTTTAATTTCTGACGTTTTTAAAAGCCATTCTCACTTTGTCTTAATTGTCATTTTTAGCCTCGCCAACATTATTAGATGGTATAAAAATGAATGTCTTTCAGCCGGGCGCGCTGGCTCACGCCTGTCATCCCAGCACTTTGGGAGGCCCAGGCGGGCGGATCACGAGGTCAGGAGATCGAGACCATCCTGGCTAACATGGTGAAACCCCGTCTCTACTAAAAATACAAAAAAAAATTAGCCGGGCGTGGTGGCAGACGCCTGTAGTCCCAGCTCCTTGGGAGGCTGAGGCAGGAGAATGGCGTGAACCCGGCAGGCGGAGCTTGCAGTGAGCCGAGATCGTGCCACTGCACTCCAGCCTGGGCGACAGAGCAAGACTCCATCTCAAAAAAAAAAAAAAGAAAAAAAAAAAAAAGAATGTCTTTCAAGCTTGGGATAAAGGCCTTGTCTTATCTGGAAGAGGCGAGAGAGGGGTTATAGGTTCCGTCGTTCCCATTGCTAATGGGAGCTGTGGGGCAGGGGACTGAGAGAAACCCACAGAGAGGGAAGTGCCTGCTGTGCTGAAAATGGCTTCTTCCTAGGGAACACACTGGGTCAGAGGATGCAGCCCTGTGTGGCAACAGTTCACGCCTCCCGACTAGGCGCGGTGAGGCTGGGATGGGGACACTTCATAAGACCTGGATTGTGAGCACAGAGCCCAGGCATCCTAACAAAGCTGTCCCCCACCAGCCCTGCGCGAGGCCGCACTGGACATGAGCAGACCATCACGCACCCCAGGTGCTCACCAGAGCTTGGCAGCTCCGCCCTCAGGTGCTGGGTAAAGGGAACCAGGAGCATCCCATTTTGTTTCAACATAGGTAGAAGATCTAGACAGGATTGGCCAAACCCAAGAGAGGTAACATGAGATTCTGTAACAGCTATGAAAACAAACCTTAAAAAACAAAAGGAGGAGGAAAGGAAGGAGACAAACCTTTCTAAGCAAACTTGTCATCCGGGAGACAAAAGTAGATTTCCTGCAAATGGTTGAGTTATGCAACAAATAATAACAAATATGGCAGCAAATTACAAATATGGCATACTAACTTTAATAGGGCTCTCAGTTGAGATGGTAAAATTATAGAGTAAGTTTTATTTTGTTTATTTGTTTATTTTTTGAGACGGAGTTTTGCTCTTTCACCCAGGCTGGAGTGCAATGATGTGATCTCAGCTCACTGCAAACTCTGCCTCCCAGGTTCAACTGATTCTCCTGCCTCAGCCTCTGAAGTAGCTGAGATTACAGGCACGTGCCACCACACCCCACTAATTTTTGTTTTTTTTAGTAGAGACAGGGTTTCACCATGTTGGCCAGGCTGTTCTCAAACTCCTGAGCTCAAGTGATCCGCCCACCTTGGCCTCCCAAAGTGCTGGGATTACAGGCGTGAGCCTCTGCGTCTGGCCTATAGAGTAAGTTTTAAAAGGAAGAGCGGAGGCCTCAGGGAATAAATGAGCACCAGAAGTCATTACAGTTCGAGTCGGTGATTAGGAAGAGTGAGGGGCAGAACGGAGGTGGCTGGGACTTGGGTCGCTGGCATCCGAGAAGGGCGCGAGATGCTCACAGTGTGGCTAAAGCACAAAGCCGTGGAATCAGCCAGAGAGAGGCTGGCGAACGGGGAGGACAGGAAAGCTGCAGCATCGGTGTAAGCAGTGGAGGCTTTAACAAATGGAGCAGAAAGCAGATTCAAAGGCCAGAAAAATGCACCATGACCCGCAGGAAGATCTGAAAGTTTAGCCCCAAAGAGCGTAACATGCTCCAGGAAAGAATGAAGGCGGAATGCTGAGTACTGAGCCCGTGGTGGTTTGGTGACAGAACTCCAAAGGCTGAATCAACATTGCCGCTTCTGCAAATCCCTGGCCAGTCTGCCGTGGCTGTCAGGGCTGAGGAGGGTGCTCATAGCTAGCTGCTCCTAGATGCTCCTCGGAGAGGTCATAAACCCAAAGATAGGGGATCAATTTCTCCAAAAAGGACAAAACCAAAACATGACCCAAGAACATGGTGACAAAACGTCCTTCAAATAGAAGAAAACAGGAACACAGCCTCCAAAATGGCAGAAATCTAAGACGACAGCACCTGGGACTCGGGAAAATCATATGGACCCTACACAATTGGGATTCATTCCAATTAAAGGAGTGAGGCAGGGATAGGCAAGGCAGGAAGGGCTGAGGACAGTAGAATGAAGACCAACATTGAGTAATTAACTACACGGGCGATGGTGAGTTACGGAGCCCACCTGCATTCCCAGAGAGAAAAATTAACCTGATGACATCTCTGCTCTCCACCTCCTCAGGCCCCTTCCACAACCTCCAGGTGGGTGGGGGTTAGAGCCATGGAAGGACCCGGTGACCTAGGGCAGGGGTCCCCAACCCTCAGGCCACAGTCCATGGCCTGTTAGGAACCAGGCCACACAGCAGGAGGTGAGTGGAAGGCGTGCAAGCATGACCTCCTGAGCTGCACCTCCCGTCCCTTCAGCCGCCACATTCGATTCTCATAGGAGCCAGAACCCTACTGTCAAGTGCGCACGCGAGGGATCTAGGGTGCGTGCTCCTTACGAGAATCTAACTAATCCCTAATGATCTGAGATGGAAGAGTTTCATCCTGAAACCAGCCCCCACCCACCCCCTGGGTCCGTGGAAAAATTTTCCTCTACAAAACCGGTTCCTCGTGCCAAAAGAAGGTGGTGGTTGCTGCCCTCGGGTGCTCTTGAAAATGGCCCTGCATTGTGGCTGGGCTGCTGTCTCCCTGGTGGGCGGCGATCCTGGCCCCTCACCACACCCGTGGGCCAGCACTGTCTCTACCATCTCGTGGGTGCTACTGTTTCCATACTTTTCTTATTTTTATATTTTCCTTTTCGTAGGCTTTTAGATTCTCTTTTCTTGCTTCTATGGACTTGCTGAAGCTTCTTTCTTCCTTTCTCCTCTTTTTCTGCTGGTTTGCACTGATGTTTTTGTTTCTACTTTTCCCCAGTGGTGACTGTGAACATTTTAACATGCATGTTTAACGCAGTCTGAGATCAGCCACTATCTTCCCCTGGCCCCTCACAGAGGCAGGTGCTCCCCTCAGACTAGCATCTCCTGTGTCAACCTGAGTGCCGTCCAGTGTTTCAGATCCGCCTCCTTCCTGTACCCCCAGCGAGTCATGAGCATCCTACCCTTCATTTCTTCTTTATATACAGCACATTTACCTTCACGAGAACCTCATACTTCCTTCCGGAAATTATCAATTTGAAGAAGACACTTCTGTCCCTCAGCTCATGGTCAGGCACGCCATAGCTAATTGTTACACCTGCTGAGGTGGACGTGTGAATTCTCTCCCTCAAGGCACTTTTGTAATGAGTTACAATGATACATTTCCTGACGGTGAGCCATCTTAACATTCTTGGAACAAACCCTACTTATGACTTGCTATTTTTAAATAATCATATTGGAGTCTTTAATATTTGATTCAGAAATTGTGTGTATTTGTTAATAACGAAATGAAGTTAAAATTTTCTTGTGTTTTACTGGCCTTACCTTTTTCTTTTTTCTTTTTTTTCTTTTTTGAGACAGAGTCAAGCTCTGTCACCCAGGCTGGAGTGCAGTGGTGCAATCATAGCTCCCTGCAGCCTCGACCTCCTGGGCTCAAGAAATCCTCCCACCTCAGCCTCCCGAGTAGCTGGGACTACAGGTGTGCGCTCACAGGCCCAGCTAATTTTTGTACATTTTTGTAGAGATGAGATATCACTATGTTACCCAGACTGGTCTCAAACTCCTGGGCTCAAGTGATCCTCCCACCTCAGCCTCCCAAAATGCTGGGATTGCAGATGTGAGCACCCACACACAGCCCTTTTCATTCTTCTCTGTCAGGCCCCAAATGTTCCTGGGTGGTTCTGGCTGGGGGTCTGAGGCTGCATCCCCTGAAGGCTCGGCTGGTATTGGACCCACTTCCAGGATGGTACATGCCTTGGCTTGTGGGTGGGAGGCCTCAGCTTCTCACCTGCAGGCCTCTCCACAGGGCTGCTATTGGCACAGGATCTGGCTTCACCCAGAAGGAGTAGTACTGAGAGAGAGAGAGAGAGAGAGACAGAGAGACAGAGAGAGACAGAGAGAGAGGCAAGTGTTGTACCACCCTTCATGTCCTAGCCTCCAAGCCCCGTGCCATCATGCTGTCTGCCGTCTTCGTCGCGAGAAACATACTGTGCTGCTGGCCTTCTCCTTGTTGCTTCTTCTGCAAGTCCTTCTGCTGGAGCCTTCTCTGCTGTGCGGCATCAGCCAGCACTTTACTATCCCAGGAAAAACCGCCCCTGAGACTTCCTCTCATCTGAGTGTGGTTTCAGGTGGTGGAGGAGTGAAAATCTGTGGGGTCAGCCTAGCTCGTTTTAGGAGGAGAAATCCTTCCAGCTCTCTCTTACCTGGTGCCCCCTTTTCTGTTGGGTTCTTGATCTGGAGCCTACAGATACAGGTGGACATCAGATCCTGTCTGGATACTGCACAGTTTTATGTAAAGTTGTGTGTTTTTGTGCATGTTTGTAGACTTGTTTAAAGAGAGGCTCTGTAAAATTCCACAGAGGAATCTACGAACCCACAGTAGTTAAGAATGGGTCTGCAGAGGTAGTTCCTAATGTGGAGCACAGGAGCAAAGTCTACAACATACTCATGTCTGCTTTACGCTGAAAAGGTGAAAAAAATTAAAATTAACTAAAATTAAAATAGCAAATGACTAGACAGGAGCATATGCACCTTATATAATACACACATTTCAGGGGGCATTTGCTCAAAAGCTACATAATCGTGGGGTGCCCCACGGGACAGGGTGAGACCACTGCCATGTTGATTGTTCCATCAGAGCATTGTAAGAGGCCCTCTGATGATCCTCTTTGCCCAATTCAGCGAACCCGAAGGTCATCAATGGACCACGAAGAACAAAGGCCCATGAAAGGGAAGATGTTCCCAAAGTACAAAAGGAAAAGTCCTCTTGTACCCGAGGGAAGGAGCTGATCCAAGGGTGTCACTAGGAGTCAGCGCGGGTGTTGATACATTACTTCAGGGGCTGGAGGCAAATATACGAGGTACTGGAAGCAAATGTATCAAGCACTGGGACAAATGTATCAGGCGCTGGATGCAAATGTATCAGGCACTGGATGCGAATGTATCAGGCGCTGGATGCGAATGTATCAGGCGCTGGATGCGAATGTATCAGGCGCTGGATGCGAACGTATCAGGCGCTGGATGCGAATGTATCAGGCGCTGGATGCGAATGTATCAGGAAGCAAATGTATCTGTTGCCTCTGTTCCAGAGCTGGAGGATGCCGCCTCTGGTGGGGACAGCCAACACAAGGCGGCTCTCTCCTAATGGGTTTTCTGTTCCTCCCTGAGATACAGTCCCCTGCCCCAGAACAGAGTGGGGCTCCAGCATACACGGCAAGAGTCACCGAGTGCCAGCTGGTGTTTACACCGTGGCCTGAGGCCTGTTGACTGGGCTCGGGGCACTCACAGGTATTGTGGTCACGGGGGCAAATGGCCATCCGGTTCCCTGCTCTCCACCGGCTTTCTTTAGCATCCAGTGGGCCTGCACCCGAATGCAGTTGCTGCTTCCCAGGCTGAGCCCGGGACCCGGAGCAGGCGGGCACCCAGACAGGGCATCCTCTTCCGCTCACTGGCCCTGAAAGGGCCTCTGCCATCAGCCTGTGCGGCTGTCCGGGAGCCCCTGGGCCGGCCACGCAGTGGGGGAACCCGCTTCACAGCGACACCGTGCGGCGGCAGGAGGAACCGCTGCAGGAGACAATGCGATCTGGGTCCCGACCCAGCGCAGAGGCAGTGTCTGCCCCTTGCAATGCTTGGATTTCCTTCCTCAAAAGGCAGCCTTCGATGATCTGAAATTCAAGTTCCAGCAGGCATCCTGTACTGTATCTGTCAGCCCTGCCACCCGAGTGGTCTGAAAGCCCTGGAAGAGACCGCGGTTATCACAGGAGAACACTTTCCATGGGGAGCACGCAGCAAGCTCCAGAATAAGCGCTTAAAATCCGCGTCTCAGTCAACACTGCAAACCTTCCAACAAAGTCTTACACCGAAAAGGACCCTGCTGAGCTGAGGGCTGAAGCCCCAGGTCCTGGGACCCTTGGAAACAGCCCGCGGGCCAGGAGCTGCTGTGGACCGTGAAGGTGTAGGGCCTAGGCACTTCCCAAGCAAGACACGATGCTCCCGCAGAGGAATCTTCCCGGGAGCAAGCCAGGAGTCCTGGGCTCAAAATCACCCTCGGCAAGACCAAGGCCTCTGAGCGAGCCACTGCCTGCCCATCGCTTCCTTCTTGTCACATGGAAAGGGAAACTCACCGCGGGGCCAGTGTTTACTGAGGGGCCGCTTCCATCACAGACCTGACAGCACATTCGAGAAAAGTGCGAGGAAAACAGGAGTTATTTATAAAAATGTAAAGCAGAAGAGAATACTGGGACCAGTGGCACAAGCAGGAACCAGGAAGTGACAGTGTGCCCAGCCTCTCACCTGACCCTGGACAGGGATATAAAGAGCCCGGGCTCAGGGGGCTCCACACCTGCACCTCCCTCTCACCTGCTCCTCTACCTGCTCCACCCTCAATCCACCAGAACCATGGGCTGCTGTGGCTGCTCCGGAGGCTGTGGCTCCGGCTGTGGAGGCCTTGGCTCCGGCTGTGGGGGCTGTGGCTCCGGCTGTGGAGGCCGTGGCTCCGGCTGTGGGGGCTGTGGCTCCGGCTGTGGAGGCTGTGGCTCCGGCTGTGGGGGCTGTGGCTCCGGCTGTGGGGGCTGTGGGGGATGTGGCTCCGGCTGCTGTGTGCCTGTCTGCTGCTGCAAGCCCATGTGCTGCTGTGTGCCAGCTTGTTCCTGCTCCAGCTGTGGCAAAGGGGGCTGTGGCTCTTGCGGGGGCTCCAAGAGAGGCTGTGTCTCCTGTGGGGTGTCCAAGGGGGCCTGTGGCTCCTGTGGGGGGTCCAAGGGGGGCTGTGGCTCCTGTGGGGGGTCCAAGGGGGGCTGTGGCTCCTGTGGGGGGTCCAAGGGGGGCTGTGGTTCTTATGGCTGCTCCCAGTGCAGCTGCTGTAAGCCCTGCTGCTGCTCCTCAGGCTGTGGGTCATCCTGCTGCCAGTCCAGCTGCTGTAAGCCTTACTGCTGCCAGTCCAGCTGCTGTAAGCCCTGTAGCTGCTTCTCAGGCTGTGGATCATCCTGCTGCCAATCCAGCTGCTACAAGCCCTGCTGCTGCCAGTCCAGCTGCTGTGTCCCCGTGTGCTGCCAGTGTAAGATCTGAGGCTCTGACTGCAGACTGCAGGTGGCCTGACTGGTGAAGGGCCCGTCTGCCCAGCTTCCTTGCCCTGGGTTCTCTGGTGCTCCACTGTCTCCACTGTGTCCTCACTGGCTTCATCCACTCCACACCAGTGCTTCCGAAACTGACTGAGGACCCCTTCTGGCTCATTGCCTACTACTTCTCCTGAACTTCCTCTCCCTGCTCCTCACTCATTTAAGATCCAAAGCGGCCCACTGAGGCCCCAGAGGCAGATCAGACCCCTTAGACCCTGACAGCTGCTCCTTCTTTCAGGAGTGTGATCGACCCTCAATCTCTCTGGCTGTCTGTATATCAAGACTGAATCCTGACCCTCTAAATAAACAAAGTCTCTAAGCACAAAGCTCACTGTCTTGTGGTTCTCTCCTTCCCACCTCTCTCTCATTCCCAGAAGCACCATCTTCTTGCCTCCACCCCTGGGCCTGTTCCCATTTCTCTCCCCTCAGCATCTTTCATGTCATGGTCCATGTCTTCATGCACAGAACTAACGTCTATAGCTTTCTGCTCTGGGCCCCTTGTTGTGTTGGGCTCCAGAGATGACAGAGCAGAGTAAATCCAAGCTCACAGTCTGGTATGTGGGGAGAGGTGGGGAGAGGGAAAGGTGGTGAGGGCGGTGGTGTCAGCCGTGGAGGCACTGCCGTCCCATGGGAGGGAGGGAAGCTCAGGGCCAGGCCACTTCAGCGGAAGGATGAGGAAGGGTCTGTATGCTGAGCTGTGCGGTACATCAGGCCCTAAGAAGCCCCTAGTGCATGCAGGAGCCAGACGTGGAGATGCGGAGGAGCTTGGGCTTATCTGCAATCTCACAGGGCCTTGAAAAACCAGACAGGAGAAGGCAGGACTGCACACAACGCCAGCTGCGGGACACAAGCTCGAAGGCAGCCGGGAGTTGAATAGATCCCCACCTCCAAAAAAAAATTCCAGAGCTGGGGGAGCCCAAATGCCCAGTGCCTTCTAAGGCAACCTAGCCTGGAGACAAGCTTTCTTTCAGCTTTTATTTTGGGTTCAGGGCTGCATGTGCAGGCTTGCCATATAGATGAATTGCATGTCATGGGGGTTTGGTGTATAGATTATTTCATCAACCAGGTAATGAGCATAGTACCCAATAGGTGACTTTTTGATCCTCACCCTCCTCCTGCCCCCACCACCCCCGCCAAATGCACCACAGTGCTGTTGTTCCCTTGTGTTCCTATGTACTCAGTGCTCAGGTCTGACTCATAAGTGGGAACACGCGATATTTGGTTTTCTGTTCCTGCATTAGTTTGTGAAGGATATTGACCTCCAGCTCCATTCATGTCCCTGCAAAGGACATGATCTCATTCTTTTTGATGGCTGCACAGTATTCCATGGTGTATAAGTACCACATTTTCTTTATCCAGTCTGTCATTGATGGACATTAGGACGTTACGTGAAGATGAAGGTAGAGGTTGGGGTGATGCTTCTATAAGTCACAGAGGACCAAGGGTTGCCAGCAAGACCCAGAAGCTAGAAGAGACCAGAACAGAGGCTCTGTTGCAGCCCCAGAAGGAACCAGCCCTGCCCACCCCTGCATCTCGGACTTCTGGCCCCCAGGATTGGGAGAGGGATGTTTCTGTCATTTGTGGTCCTTTGTTAGGGCTGCCCCAGGAAGCGAGTACAAGCGGTGGCTCAGTCAGAGCAGGAAAACAGTCATTCAGGGTATTTTCTGTCAGGGGGATCTAGAGTGGAAATCAGAAGCTTATGTTCTCGATGGCAGCTCTGGGACCTGGACTTCCTGGAAGGACTCCAGCTGTCCACAGCGGGGGCCCCTGGGGACCTCAGGTTTCCAAGCTGTCCTGGAACCCTGAGCTCCAGTGCACCTGCCATGTGGTCCAGGGACAGGGAGCCACCTCACCGCCACCTCTGCCACAGCCACCTCAGGGCGTCCACAGGCTGGTGACAGCACTGGGGTGTGCGTCTACCCAAGCCTTTCTCTGGGGAAGCAGGTGACCAGCTGCAGCAGAAGCCACAGGTGCACAGCTCGCCCTCATGCGCAGCAGCACTTGAGCCCTGGCATGGGCCTCTGCCTGCCTTCCCTTCCAGACCTGGGGAAAGGCATTCGATTGGCAGGACCTCATTCTCACCCTGGCCTTGGAATTGACATTTTTATCTTCTAGCTCGTGCAGTGTAGACAGGACCGGAGGAGGGGGTGGAGACTCTGTGGGTGGGGCTCGCCTACTTCCTGCCTTTTTCTCCCCTCAATTATCCCCCCACTAAGGCTTCTGTAGCCCTGTTACGGAAGCCCTGTTACTGTACCCAGGGAGGGTGTCCAGGATCTTGGCTTCTCAAACAAAGAATTGGACAAAACGCACAAATAAAGCGAGGAGAGCAAAAGCTGGGATTTATTGAGAAGGAAAGTGCACTCCACAGTGTGGGAGCAGCCGAGCGGAATTCATTGCAAAGGAGAAAGAATGTTGTGGAAGTGAGGTGCAGAACAGACAGGATGCCCTGGGCGAGACAGGGTGCAGGGCGGGCTGTTCACAAGGATGAGAAGCAGAGACCGGCCTGAGGGAGGCTCCCTTTATGGGACTCTTCCATGATTATTCCTAAGGAGCTGGGAAGGGGTGTTGCTAGGAAGCATGTTCTGGGTGGTCCTCTGGGTGCATGTGTGCAGTAGCTGTACACGCTTGTTCATACCATTCATGTCTCATTAGCATCTTAAATCTCCACCCAGGGATGTGCTTTATACTATTATAAGGAGCAAAGGGTCAGAGTGAGGACAGGTAAAATCAAAATGTGCATGCTCTCTACAGGGGAAATTCCCTCCTGAGATAGCTTTGTTCGAATGAGCTCAATGACGACGTGAATGGGGAGGCTTGTTGCCTTGGCCCAGTGGTCACCACGGTTGCTGCGAGGAGATGGCCACTTCCTTGACAACCTCTCCTGCCTCAAGAGGGCCCCAAACCTATGGCACCCCACAGCAGCAGGAGGTTGAATACCAGGCTCCAACCCAAGGACCAGGGACCCTTGGAGACATGGCAACTTCTAGGACTGAGGCAAAAAAGATAAAGGTGAGTCTGGAGCATCTTGTAGCTCCAGAAAAAAAAAATCTAAAAGAAAACAAAGCAAAGCCCCAATACATGCAGTGATGGAAAGTATCAGAAGCACGTTGTAGGGACACGTGAGCCAACAGAAAGCGCTCCTGGGGGTTACAAATAGAACAATTTGATCAACACAATAAATAGAGAGAGTAGCATTGACTCTAACCCGAACTGTAAAATAGATATCCATGAACATGACTGATAGAAATAAGTGATTTAGTAAATAAATAAAGGAGGATCACTTGAGCTCGGGAGGCAGAGGTTACAGTGAGCCGAGATCGCACCACTGCACTCTAGCCTGGGCAATAGAGCGAGACTCCGTCTCCAAAAGAAGTAAATAAATAAAAGTAAATAAATAAATGGGAGTGGATAGGCAAGTCCCCCATGCAGAAGAGTTCCCACTAATTCTGTGTAGCCCTCACCCCTTAAGTGCAGGCAGCACTGGGACCTCTTTCTGAGAATGCAGCACGGGACAGGGGAATTCAGGAGCATCTTTCCGTGGGGAATCCTGAAAGACACAAACACAGCCAGGAGACGGGGGCAGCATAGCCCGCGAGGCACGACGAGCCATGCCAACAGGACAGGCCCTCAGCACGGGGTGACGAGAAGGGCATCTCCCTCTGTGCTCTTCCTTCCCACATCCACAGCCCCGTCTAATCGTGAAAACACCAGACAGATCCTAATAAGGGACACCCTACAAACACCTGAGCAGTCCTCTGAACCCTCCAGGTCACCACCAACAAGGAGAGCCTGGGAAACGGTCACCGCCCAGAGGAGCCCAGGGAGACGGACAAGGGAATGTCACGTGGGACCCTGGGTGGGGCCCGGGGACAGAAACGGACCAGCACGTAAATGCTAATGAGAGAAGAACAAAGTGTGGACTTTAGTTAATAATAATGCATCAATATTGGTTCTCTATTTTATTTTATTTTAATTTTTTTTTTGAGATGGAGTCTCGCTCTGTCACCCAGGCTAGAGTACAGTGGCGTGATCTCGGCTCACTGCAACATCTGTCTCTCGGGTTCAAGCAGTTCTCCTCCTTCAGCCTCCTGCATAGTTGGGATTACAGGTGTCCACCACCACGCCTGGCTAATTTTTGTATTTTTGGTAGAGACGGGGTTTTGCCATGTTGGCCAGGCTGGTCTCGAACTCCTGACCTCAAGTGATCCGCCTGCTTCAGCCTCCCAAAGTGCTGGGATAACAGGCGTGAGCCACCGTACTTGGTCATTATTTAGTTTTTAGTTTAGTTTAGTTTAGTTTTTTCTTCAGAGTCTTGTTCTGTGGCCCAGGCAGGAGTGCACTGGTATGATCTCAGTTCACTGCAACCTCCACCTCTTGGGTTCAAGCGATTCTCCTGCCTTAGCCTCCTGAGTAGCTGGGATTACAGGCGCCAGCCACGACGTCCAGCTAATTTTTGTATTTTAGTAGAGACAGGGTTTCACCATGTTGGCCAGGCTGGTCTCCAACTCCTGACCTCAAGTGATCCTTCCGCCTCAGGCTCCCAAAGTGCTGGGATTACAGGTGTGAGCTACCACGCCTGGCCCAATATTGGTTCTCTAATTGTAAGAAACATACCATACTGAAGTAAGATACTAATAATGGGGGAAGCTGGGTGTAAGGTGTATGGGAACTTGCTTTGCAATTTTTCTGTAAATCTAAAACAATTCCAAAAATAAAGCTTATTAAAAAATAATTTAGACTCCCATGAAACTGATTTCTTTGAAGAATTAATTTTTTTAAAAAAAATTTCTCCACAAGAATCACCAGGTCTACATGCGCTGACATTTATCATTTAAAACAATTTATCAGAAACTAATCCTAATGTTGTCACAGCCTGTAAGATACCTTTACTGCTCCAATAACAGCTGTATCAGCACAAAGATTCTTCTCAAAGGTCATCAAAAATTATTTGAGATCTTGCATTTGCCAAAAAAGACTGAAATAACTTTCAGTTATGTCAAAACCGAAAATGAAATTTCTGAAGTATCCATTTTGATGATCTAATAAATGAATTTGCAGAAAAAATTGGAAAAATCATAAACATCCTATTAATAAAATATTATTTATTATATAAAATTCTGAATCCAAAAATTATTGTTTTGTAGTTTGTAAATTGGTGTTGTTACTTGGCACCACTATCACCCCTATTTATTGTGTAAGTGATAAAATCATTCCTAAAGGGGAAAGCTTTCACTGTGGTTTTTTGCTGCTTTTTTTTTGTCCCAAGACAGAGTCTTGCTATTTCCCCCAGGCTGGAGTGCACTGGCACAATCTTGGCTCACGGCAACTTCCACCTCCTAGGTTCAAGCAATTCTCCTGCCTCAGTGTCCGGAATAGCTGGGATTACAGGCACACGCCACCACCCCTGATTAATTTTTGTATTTTTGGTAGAGACAGGCTTTCACCATTTTGGCTAGGCTGGTCTCGAACTCCTGACCTCGTGATCTGCCCACCTCAGCCTCCTAAAGTGCTGGGGTTACAGGTGTGAGCCACCACACCCAGCCTTTTGCTACCTTTTGAACCAGGAGTCCCACCATTTCTGTGTCTGGCCTATCTCTCTCCCTCTCCAGGGCCCAGCTCCTCGGACCCCTCCCGGGTCCTCACCTGACCCTGCCACACTCTCACCCCCGACCCTGGGCTGGGCTCCACCACAGGCTGCTGACAAATAAACAAGAGATTGGCAAATCAGACCCAGCATCAGATTTGCACAACGATGCATCGTGGCAACGAAGGGTTGACATCAAGAAAGCAAATGTGCCTGATATTGTAAATAATACCAGACATAAATGAGGCTGCATGTGGTGGCTCATGCTTGTAATCCCAGCACTTTGGGAGGCTGAGGCAGGTGGATCACCTGAAGTCAAGAGTTCAAGACAAGCCTGGCCAACATTGCAAAACCCTGTCTCTACTAAAAATACAAAAATTAGCCAGGCGTGGTGGCAGGTGCTTGTAATCCCAGCTATTCGGCAGGCTGAGGCAGGAGAACTGCTTGAACCCAGGAGGCAGAGGTTGCAGTGAGCCCAGATCACGCCATAGCACTCTAGCTTGGGCGTCTCAAGAAAAACAACAACAAAAAACCAAACCAACAATAAAACACTCACCGTAGTAATGACAGACACGGGGGAAAACATCATCTGTTTTCTCCATGTTGCGGAAAAGGTATTAATAAACCATCAATGCCTGATACAGAACGGCGACAGATGGAGAAGCCCTTCATACAGTATAAACACAGGCACGCCCAAAATTAGGTTTTCCTGCAAATGTGCACGTTCATATCTAAAGCGAAATCACATCTCTATTCGGCACCATGCCAGGGGCGGAAGGCGCCTGCTCTCTAAGACAATGGTTTTATAGTAACGATTGCAGCCTCCACCCAGAGAGCTTCAGGGGCCTGAGCTAGGGGCTGTGCTGAGGAGGGGGCTCCGGTCACCTGCGGTGTCTCCCCCACCCCTCCCAACGCCCAATCTCCTCCAGCTAGGCCTCCCTCTCGGACCCCGGGCCTTGCTTGAACCAAATGGTTCGACCTCTGCCTCTTCCTAAGGCTCATTCCTGAGCTGGGAAGAGAAAGTGAGGAAATTCCTTGCAGAAAAGGAGAAATCAGTCATCACCTTGTGTGTTGTGTGTGAGGCTCTCCCAGCCCGTGGAGGCGGGACCTTTTATTCCCTCGATTTGAAAGGCACCAAACGCAGATTCTCTGCATGTCCAAACTTTTTTACAAATGGAAGAAGAATGCATAAGAGCGTAAAGCATAGCTTGCACCCCAATACACTTTTGGCTTCTTGGGTTTGGGCCGTCTCGATCTGAGCTTGCACCCTGCTCTTCATTTCCTTCTTTTCCCCAAGCTGGGGGGCACCAGGCTGCAGCCGTGGTCATCGTCCCAGTGTGAACCCCCGAGGCCTGCACAGCTGCAACCATTTTCTTTGTACTTAAACACAAACGTTTATGTTCGCCAGCGCCCGTGTAAACTAGCAGCTCCCTCTTTCCGTCTCCTTGCTTGCGTTCCTTCGACGTGTCACCTCACAGACGCCCCTTCACTGTGTCACCTCACAGACACCCCTTTGCTGTGTCCATCCCTCCCCAGAAGGTTGGAGCCCTGAGAACAGGTGTACCTGGTTTTGGTCATTGTTCTACCCTCTGGTTCAATGACAGTGCCAGGCACATAGTGCACACACAGTAAATATTTGCCAAATACGTGCAGGGCTCCAAGCCATCCTGAGCAGCTCTGGGCAGAGGGGCTGAAAGTCTCACCTTTCCCTCCCGGGTTTCAGGGAAGAGCCCAGTCTGGGAAGACAGGAAGCCGGCTTGACTCAGCAGGGCCGCCAGGGGGCACTGTGGCAAGACGGCGGGAGAGCCGTGTGCCCAGGGTTGCAGGTTCTGGAGCCCAGAGGTGGCCCAAGGCGCCAGGTGTCTGGCAAACTCCAACCGCGGATGCAGGCGACAGCCCCAGTCTCCAAAGATTGAGTGGCTGCCACTGGCTTTAGGATAAAAATGAAGCGGGACCCTTAAAAACACCCAAACATGGTAGAAATACGTGAACTGGACGTGATGCACGTTGCGTTTTGCATTTTGCTTTATAGCCTGCAGCAGAGCAATGCAGAGGGCTCCAGGCTCAAACAGGCTCCGTCCTGGTGTGTTTGGAACTCGGGGAGCAGAGGAGGGCTGCAGGGGGAAGAGGGCATCGGGAGAAACTCTTAAAGGGAGGGTCTTCCCGTGCTGTGCACAGCCCTTAGTCCTGTGCCAGCGGTGGGCAGCTTTCATCTCGCATGGAGCCCCCCCCGGCCCTAGCTCCCCTGCAGTGCCCAGTGCAGCCCTGGCATCCCGCCGGGCTCCCCCACCGGCCCGGGCCACTTCCATCTTCCCACAGGAGTGGGAGCCTCAGGGAAGGGGCTTCTCGGAACTTCGCCCACTGTCGTCCCTCTCGCTGGACCTGCAGCTTGGGCCCTGCGTGTCTTCTTATCCAGAGCTATTTCTTAGTTCCTCAGCCCTCTGCTTGTGGTTAGTAATGTTTCTATTTCCTGAAACTTTTCTTTAATGGATTGATTGAGGCCTGTAGCCATCTCATTTTCCTGGGGAGTTGGTCACGCGTGGGGGAGTCCCAGACACGTGGAAAGTGGCTGTAGTAACTCCTGCCGGTACCTGGGGAAGTGGGGAAGAACTTCCATGCTCAGAACCGTCCCTGGCCACTCCCGAGCACCCTCAGCCTTCACCTGCCTCTTGACCCTGGCGTCTCTGTCCAGCCAGAGCCCCAGGAGCTGCCTGTGGTTGAAAGGTTGGGCTACGACTCACCACGTGGCCACACACACCACGGGCACCGCGGGGTCGCAGGAGGAGCGTCAGGAAGACCCTCTGTAGGACTGGGCTGTGGCTGGGTGGTTGGGGGTCACCCCGGGTTGGAGGCTGTCAGAAAGCTGGAGCCCGCATGACCAGCTGGCAAAAGTCTGACCCCAGGCAAGGCCCAGCTCCTGTTAGCAGAGAGAAGGGGAGGTTTGGCATTTCATGGCTGGCACCGGGATCTTGATTTGTCCGTGTTTAGATGAAATTATGAAAGGGCCTCGTTCTGTCTCATCTCATCCCGGCCTTGAAGTTGTCTGAAGTTGTTTTCAGCTGGAATGCAGGCAAACAGACCACTTCCAGCCCAGACCACCTCCACTCCCAGACCACCTCCACCCGAGACCACCCCACCCCATACCACCTCCAACACCAGACCACCTCCACTTGAGACCACCTCCAACCTCAGACCATCACACCCCAGACCACCTCACCCCAGACCACCTCCACCCCAGACAACCTCCACCCCAGACCACCCCACCCCAAACCACCTCCACCCCAGACCACCTCCAACCAAACCACCTCCACCCCAGCCCATCCCACCCCAGACCACCTCCACCCCAGACCACCTCCACCCCAGACCACCTCCACCCCAGACCACCTCCACCCCAGACCACCTCCAACCAAACCACCTCCACCCCAGCCCATCCCACCCCAGACCACCTCCACCCCAGACCACCTCCACCCCAGACCACCTCCACCCCAGACCACCCTTACCTGATGGAGGTTTTGGGGCTCTGGAAAGCTGCCTTCAAAGTTCTCTCCAGCCTGGGCCCCCTGGCCCGCCCCCTCCACTGGCGTTTACCCACTGCTGCCTCTCGCTCCCCACCGGGACTGAGGACCTGGCCTCCGCTCCGCAGCTGGGGAGGGGTCTTCCTTAGGGCACTGGCAGGAGGCCCGGGAGCTGTCCTGGCTCTTCCCTGGTTGTTCCTCATGGATCAGATAATTCTCTCCTGCTTCTTCCCCGACACGAAGCAATAGGCTCATATCCAGCAGCTCAGAGGCACGGTGGGGGGTAGGGGGTTGAGGGGTGTCTCGCACCCCTGGGCCCAGGTTTCAGAGAGGCAGAATCTGCCACTGCGGCTGTGCCCACGTCCACCCTGACCCCGACCCTGACCCTGGGCATGAACCGGCAGCAACTCGCTCTCAGGAGGGTGGGGACTGCCGGGACGGACCTGTTCCCTCCTTCCCTCCCTCCCAGGGGAGCTGAGGCAGCACCCTGGACCCCCGAGCTGGGGGTCGGCAGCGCCGTGACCCCATCTGCCCCATTTACCATGGGCTGCAAGATGGGGCTCCTCCTGGGGTCCTCCACGTGTGTTTCTGGGGACAGCACATCACCGGAGGCCAGGACAGGCTGGGGAGGCACCAGTAGCCCCAGCACCCTTGCTGCAGGCAGGGCAACCGCTGAGACTCCAGGGGCTGCACCACTGCCCTGTGGCCGGGCCCCTCCCCTCCTTCTCCAGGTCCCTCCAAAAGTGCTGGGGATGGGCACGGGGGAAGTGACAGGACTCCTGGCTCTCCCTTCAGTGGCTGAGGACCCCCAGTGCCCACAGGTTCAGAGAGGGAGGTCTGGCGGGCGCTGCGGGGCAGCCCCGACCTGGCACCTAGGAGAGGAGCCCCTTCCGCGTTTCGACGCTCCCACCCACAGCACAGAGAGACCCGCCCCAGCGCTGGACATTGGGGTGGTCAGTGTGTCCGGCCGCAGGCACAGCTGCACTGGTGGCTGCTCCTCTGTCCTGTTTTCCTGCCCATGTGACCTGGAGCCGCTGTGCCAGGCCTTCCACCACCAGGTTGGGGAAACAGCAGCAGAAAGAACCCCCGAGATGCCCGACAAGCAGAGGGGACTCCTGAGGATCAGGGAACTGCCAGGGCTGCGAGCTCTCCCAGTTGGGGGGGATCCTCACCCACAATTCAGCTCCTGTCTCCCGGCACCCCCAACCACCTTCACATTGTCACCAGCAGGGGTCTGATACCCAGGTGGGAGGTTCACCCCAGAGGCTGCAGTCTCTGGCAAGACGGGGTGGGGTGCATGTGGGCGGCAAGCCGCCCAGGTGCCGAGGCAAGAGACCGAGGGCACGAGCTCTTCCAGTGTAATGAAGAAAATATATACAATAAGAATAGTTATACTAGATATAGATCATAGATATGATTATATACGAACATTATTAATCATTAGTTTGTAGCAATTACTCTTTATTCCAATATTATAATAATCCTCACTGTATAATCATAACCTAGGAAAAACCAGGCCATACAGAGATAGGAGGTGAGGGGACATAGTGAGGGGTGACCAGAAGACAAGAGTGCGAGCCTTCTGTTATGCCCAGACAGGGCCACCCGAGGGCTCTTTGGTCTAGAGGTAACGCCAGCGCCTGGGAAGACGCCTGTTACCTAGCGGACTGTGGTCTGGCGGTAACTTCAGTGCCTAGAAAAGGCACCCGTTACTTAGCAGACCGGGAAAGGGAGTCTCCCTTGCCCCGGGGGAGTTTGGAGAAGACTCTGCTCCTCCACCTCTTGTGGAGGGCCTGACATGAGTCAGGCTCGCCCGCAGTTATCTGGAGGCCTAACCGTCTCCCTGTGATGCTGTGCTTCAGCGGTCACGCTCCTAGTCCTCCTTCAGGTTCCATCCTGTACACCTGGCTCTGCCTTCTAGATAGCAGTAGCAAATTAGTGAAAGTACTAAAAGTCTCTGATATGCAGAAATAATGGCGTAAGCTGTCTCCTCTCTCTCCGCCTCGGCTGCCAGGCAGGGAAGGGCCCCCTGTCCAGCGGATGCGTGACCCACGTGACCTTACCTATCATTGCAGACGGCTCACACTCCTTACCCTGCCCGCTTGTCTTGTATCCAATAAATAACAGCACAGCCTGGCATTTGGGGCCACTACCTGTCCCTGCGTCTTGGTGGTAGTGGTCCCCCGGGCTCAGCTGTCTTTTCTTTTATCTCTTTGTCTTGTGTCTTTATTTCTATGATCTCTCGTCTCCACACATGAGGAGAAAAACCCACAGACCCTCTAGGGCTGGTCCCTACAGGTGCAAAAGGTGTAGGACTCTCCCCTTCCCCAGAGTCACAGGGAACCCCGGGGCGCTGCTTTGTTGCATGAGCATTGTCCAGAGGGGTGTGGGGGTAGGAGTGAGACATGACGGAGCCCGGCCCAGCTCGGCGACAGGGTGGTGAGGTCCAGGGTGCCAAGGTTTTAAGGCACCCACCCTGAAACCGAGGCTCTGGGACCCATTCACCATGATGTGAGTGACCCTCAGGGATAGCAGAGTGTGGGGTGGACCCGGGCGGAATGAGGCAGGTGCTCCAGGGACCCCCATAGGACACCTGGACACCTGTGTCTCCCCACATGCGCCAGCTTCAGTGCCTGGGAGGGGACACCCCTGGCTGCCACGGGGAATCCACTAGGAGGCTGTGGTGTAGAGAAAATGATACCCCTCCCTGCTCCATCTCTCTGGCCAGCGCTTCTGCAGAGCAGCAGAGGGGCTGGGGTCTCTGGGCACGGCCATGCAGAGTGGGCTCCACCAACACCTCCGGCTTCTGCTGGAGGCTTCCTCCCCTTGGCCCGTCGCTCACCCCTTTCCTGAGTGACACAGCAGGACAGGGGGTGGTGGGCCAGTAGGGAAGGCTGCAGGCAGGAACGCCCACGGAGCAGTCCCCGGGCTCTCTGTTACCTCCACCACCCACCCTGGCCTAGGGCCTGAGGACTGCTGGGCTTCCTCCTGCCTGGGGGTTTCCGGTGGTCAAGTCCACTGTGCCCAGCCGTCCAGAAAACAGGAGCCACCTGCCCGTGTAACACGGTGGGGCTTTTAATCCACAGGAGCCTCAACACCTGTGCTCCTGGGACTTCCTCTTTTAGGGGGAACATGTGGAACCTTGGTCCCTTCAGGAGGGGCAGTCCCCACCCGCCAGTCGCCCAGGGCATCACCCTCTGAGCCCCTCTCAGTCCCCAGTGTCTGAGGGTGCCAAGGGCCTGCGGTTCCTGTCTCAGGCAGTTCAGCACTGCTGACTCCTCTGGAAAGAGCTCCCCTGACCGTGGGCTTCCATAACCAGCCGAGGTCTGCATCGTCAGTGCGGGCACCTGGTCCAAACCCGTTATTCTAAATTTGACAAGAGAACAGGGGCCACTGGCCTGCTTTTCACTGGTGAGCTGTGTTTCCTGGACCCATTATTGATGCTGGGGTCTAATGACATTTTCTAAACTCTTACAGCTTGTATTAAAATATCGAAACCTGAGTCCCTTGATATTGAGGAAAGTGGTCAGTTAGTCAAGCCATAGAGTTGGACAGTAGATGCTTGCCCGTCATCACCAAGATTGTTCATTGATTTTGAAGCAATACTTCAGGATTGACAAATGATAGCAGCCTGAAATACTGTGTGCGCCTGTGAGTATAATGAACATTCGGTGAGTGTGTCAATGGTAACATCTCCTCCCTACAAAAGATCATAGTTTCTCAGGTGAGGTGGCTCACGCCTGTAATCCCAGCACTTTGGGAGGCCGAGGCAGGCAGATCACCTGAGGTCAGGAGTTTCAGACCAGCACCAACATGGTGAAACCCCATCTCTAATAAAAATACAAAAATTAGCTGGGCATGGTGGCAGGCACCCGTAATCCCAGCTACTCGGGAGGCTGAGGCAGGAGAATCCCTTGAACCTGGAAGGTGGAGGTTGCAGTGAGCCAAGATCACACCACTGCACTCCAGGCTGGGAGACAAGAGTGAGACTTGGTCTCAAAAAAAAAAAAAAAAAAAGAAAGATCCTAATTTCTTATCACTTTCTAAAAGGTGGGCGATGGATTTCAAGATGAGCTGTTCTCAACACTCCTTCTCCTTCTGGAAATCCTTCAGTCAGCCCACCTTGGCCTCTGAGCTGCCTGGCTGCGGAAGGAGGCTGAGAGATGTCACCAGAGGATGCATTTCAGCACCGTTTGCACTAAGATGTAAAGACCAAAACACTTTTCACTAAAGTGACTTTTGGAACTTTAGATGACATTATATTTAAACTTTGTATCTTAGAGGTATTTGTTTTAAGCAGAAATATTTACAATCTAGCTCATCCTGAGAACCAGCCTCTCCACAGCACCGCTTTCCAATGCGACCACCTTTCCAGAGAGGGGCCCACCTGTGGGTTGTGGAAAGTTCTTTGCATTTTCTTTTTTCTTTTCTTTTCTTTTTTTTTTGAGACGGAGTCTCGCTCTGTGGCCCAGGCTGGAGTGCAGCGGTGTGATCTCGGCTCACTGCAACCTCCGCCTCCCGGGTTCAAGCGATTCTCCTGCCTCAGCCTCCTGAGTAGCTGGGATTACAGGCGAGCGCCACCACACGTGAATAATTTTTGTATTTTTAGTAGAGACAGGGTTTCACCATGTTGGCCAGGATGGTCTCAGTCTCCTGACCTCATGATCCGCCTGCCTCGGCCTCCCAAAGTGCTGGGATTACAGGTGTGACCCACTGCACCCAGCCGGTTCTTTGCATTTTCTAGGACGCAGAGCGGACCTGTGTGCTGAGACCTGGCACGGATGGGAGCCCTCTTGGCACAAGAAGATTGACAGCTGTGGTAGAAGGTGCTGTTTCTTGCCAGGAGGGCGTAACATAGAGCCATTTCTGATTATCTTTTACCAACTCTCACTCCTAATGAGAACTATTTCTCATGCCTAAAAGCAAGTTTTACTGCCTCTATGGTGAAAATAGTCTAGTTTAATAATGTTTTCTCTTGGGACAATGATGCTTTGTAAATGGAAATAACACAGATTCTGTACTTTGCCCCATCTTGTTTTTCTTTCTTTCTTTCTTTCTTTTTAGGCAGTGAGACAGACTTTATTCAGGGGGACTACAGCAATGAGGTTTTGCGGCAGGGAAAGAGGTTGCAGCTTTTGGGTTTGCTTCATGCCTTGGACACACAGTAACTTGGAATTCTTGCACTTACAATTTTTTGAATTATGAAAGTAATACATGTTAGTGGCTAAACAAGAAAGGAAGGCACGGCCGGGCGCGGTGGCTCACGCCTGTCATCCCAGCACTTTGGGAGGCCGAGGCGGGCGGATCACGAGGTCAGGAGATTGAGACCACGGCGAAACCCCGTCTCTACTAAAAATACAAAAAAATTAGGTGGGCGTGGTGGCGGGCGCCTGCAATCCCAGCTACTCTGGAGGCTGAGGCAGGAGAATCGCGTGAACCCAGGAGGCGGAGCTTGCAGTGAGCCGAGATGGCCCCACTGCACACCAGCCTGGGCGACAGAGCAAGACTCCGTCTCAAAAAAAAAAAAAAAAAAAAAAAAAAAAGAAAAGAAAAGAAAAGAAAGAAAAGAAAAGAAAAGAAAAGAAAAGAAAAGAAAGGAAAGCACGAAGGAAAATAGCAAAGGGTCCCGGTGTTGCACACACACAAAGCAGCAGCAGCCGCTGGAGGTCTTCCGTGTTTGGTAAAGGTGGCTACGGACTCCCGCATGGAGACGCGGCCTGGAGGGTGTCACTGCTCTAGGCTGTCTGCAGGGCCTCTCCGCAGACCTGGACGGATTTCAGTGGGAGACTAGAGCGTCACTTAAGATGTTTGAATGTAAAAGCATCCTGAATGATCATCTTTTAGCTTGAGATTTTGGCTACCTTTCAAACAGACATAGTTTGACCTTTGCAGTCCTAGGTAATGCAGGAATGGCAAATGCTCCTGAAGGCGGGGAGGCGGCCCGGCCCGCACTGAGCTTCTCACCGGCCAGAGGGCGCAGCCACCCGGCCTTCCCGAAGCAGGACAGCGGCCTTTCCAAGACCGCGGAGTCCCCGTGAGGGATGGTGCCTCCGGAGCCTGGCATCTCGGGCGGATGAGAAGCTGAGCGCGGTCAGATGGCCCGCAGAGTCCCACTGCGGGCCGAGCCCTGGCTGGGGGACAGTTTGGGGGGAAGCAGCAGCTGCCTCAGTTTACAGTGGCAGCCGGAGGAGGACCTGGGCAGTGGCGAGTGTGGCTGTTTGCATGGCGGGGAGAAAGAGGTGGTCCCTCCTGCCTGCTGCTGATGCCCACGGCCTCCTGTCCCCAGGAAAGGGGTCTGCGCCCCTCCTCCACCGGAACAGCGACAGAAGAGGCGACCCTCTCAAAGGCCCTTCTGCTGCTCACCGCGGGGTGAGTGATGGTGTGGAGCAGGATCTGGGTCCAAGGTCTTCTTCCACGTTCAGGGTTCCCGTGGTAACTGAAGAATTATCCATCCAGAGAGGCAGGGGAGGGCCTGGGACAGGGATATATCTTATTATTGATAAGTACAATTTTAAATTTTAAATTATCAGCAGGACCGTAGGAGATGACATAAAGAGGAAAAATAACCTGTGTGGCGCTCTCAGCATAAAGCGCCCAGGTTCAGGGATGCGTGTGCGTCCTGCTGTCTGCTCATTCGAAGAGCAAAGGAAGCAGGGATGATTTAGGGCCTCCGAGGTGACACGGAATCGGGAGGAATGGCGCCACGAGAAAGACGTCTTTCTCATTTTGTGAGCAGAGAGCCCATCGTTCAGGAAGAGCATCTGAGCCACAAAGCTAATCACAGATCACCGAGCCAGCGCCGGCTCCTGATTTGTCTGTGTGGCTCCAGGTGGCAGGTGCTCCACGGCACTCAGTAAAAGGTGCATATGGTGAGGGGTGCAGGCAGTGGCCAAACAAGGGCTTCCCTGGATCCTGGAGTGGCTCCTTCCAGCCACAGCCAAGGCTGCTGGAGGGAAGACCAGGCCGAGGGCACGTCTTGCGTGCTCTCACTCACAAGCACACACCTGTATTTACCATGTTATGTACACCCACAGAATCATCTTTAAGATCTTGTTAATATTAATATATAAATTGAAGGTCGGAGGCAGTGGCTCAAGTCTGTAATCCCAGCAGTCTGGGAGGCCAAGGCTGGTGGATCACTTGAGGTCAGGAGTTCAAGACCAGCCTGGCCAACATGGTGAAACCCTGTCTGTACTAAAAACACAAAAATTAGCCGGGTGCACTGGCACATGCCTGTAATCCCAGCTTCTCAGGAGGCTGAGGCAGGAGAATCGCTTGAACCTGGGAGTGGAGGTTGCAGTGAGCCAAGATTGCACCACTGCACTCTAGCCTGAGTGACAGAGCGAGACTCCATCTCAAAAAAAAATTAATATATAAATTAATATGAGTAACATATACACATACATTAATAAAAATATACAAAATAATACATATAGTATATAATAATATATGCTAAGTATAGGAAATATGAATAATATAAATAAAAAGATTATGAATTATGCATTAAATATTAAATAATATTAATATGAATATAAATATTTATTATATCTATCTATCTGTATGTACCTATATAGACACAGACAGATATCTATCTCTATAGCTAGATATTTCTATCTCTATACACACTCATCTATATCCACATGCATGTATATGTAAAAAGAGAGAGAGAGCAGAGACATAGAGAGATTTATTTCAAAGGATTATCCCGTGCTATTGTAGAGGTTGGCAACTCCAAAACTCACAGGGCAGGCAGGAGGCTGGTCATTCCCACAGGAACTGCTGTTGCAGTCTACAGCCTGAAGGGAGAATTCCTTCCTTCTTGTGGGAACTCAGTCTTTTCCTTTTAAGACCTTCACCTGATTGGGTGAGGCCCACCTGCCTTCCTCTGACTGGATGAGGCCCACCCACATTGTCAGAGGGACATCTGTTTCACTCAAAGCCTACTGATCTAAAATGACTTTGATTAAATGACCTTCACAGCAACATTCAGACTGGCGTTTGGCCAAACAGCCTGGCACTGTGGCCCAACCTAGGTGACGTGAAGCTCATGACCTCCCTGTGCCTGCAGGGCGCTGTGGCACTCCATCCCTCTTCTGTGTCAAAGAGCTGTCTGAACTGCTCCAGCAACTCTGACACATGGGGACGTCCTGTCCTGAAGGGATGGGGGCATGCTAGGACTGGTTTGCGAATCTCTCCATAAATGGCCTTGCTGTCTCCAGCATGAGAGAAGGTTGGAGCGTAAAGAGCAGATTTCTGCGGTGTCCCTTGTGCTTCCTGAAAGGAGTCCCACACTCAAGCTCACCCCCACGGTGGATGTGCTGGACCAGGACCCTGGGGTGCTCGGGGCCCGAGGGTGCCAGGATTAGAACCTCCACACCCAGAGGTTCCTGCCTGGGGCCTGCATCACCCGTGGCGTCTCCTGCCTGCCCCGGATTCCTCCTCTTTCTTCCCTTTGCCGTTTTTTCTGGCTCCTTTAGCTGCAGGTCCACAGCTGGCTTTTCTCCAGCTCTCCTGCATACTGGCTGAGAAGGGCACCTATGTCATTGTTGCTGGCTGTTTGCGCTGCTGTAATGCAATCCCTGAGACTGGGGGATGTATACAGGACAACACTGATTTCTCATAGTCGTGGAGGCTGGGAAGTCCAAGATCGAGGCACTGGTAGGTTCGTGTCTGGTGAGGGCCCCAGTCTGCTTCATAGCTGGTGCCCTTGGCTGTGACCTTCAGAGGAGGTGAACGCTGTGTCCTCAAGTGGGAGGCAGCAGAAGGGCACATCCAGCAGTGAGGCTGTTGCTATAACAAATACCTACAACTGTGGAAGCAGCTTTGGAACTGGGTAATGTAGAGGCTGGAGGATTTGGAAGGTGCATGCTAGAAGCAGCCTAGATTCTCATGACCACAGAGAATCACCACTAAGGGTGATTCTGGCAGGTCCTCGGAAGAGGGTGCTGCGGAAAAGCCCAGTTCTCCTCACACTTAAATGGTTGTGAACAGAAAGTTAGTAGAAATATGGAGAGTGAAGACTATTCTGATGGGGTCTTAGAAGTGAGGATTTTTTTTTCTTTGAGACAGGGTCTGGCTCTGTCACCCAGGCTGGAGTGCAGTGGCGAGATCTCAGCTCACTGCAGCCTCAGCCTCCTGGGCTCAAATGATTCTTTCACCTCAGCCTCCTAAATAGCTGGGACTGCAGGCTGCCCTACCCCGCCCTGCCACCTCACATGGCAGCTGTTCTTTATTCATAATCCCCACTGTCTGTCTCTGCTTCTCTTCTCCCTTTCTCTTCTCTCTCTGTCTTTTGGGGTTTCGTCATGTTGCCCACACTGGTCTGAAATCCTGGGCTCAAGTGATCCTCCCACCTCAGCCTCCCAAAGTCCTGGGATTACAGGCGTGAGCCACCCCACCCAGCCAGAAGTGAGGAATATCTTACTGGACGCTAGAGGAAAGACCGACCTTGTTGCAAAATGGCAAAGATCTTGGCTGAATTATGTCCATGTTCAAGTGCTCTGTGTAAGGAGAAGTTTAGGAGCCAGAAGCTGGGACATTGCTAATGCTGCATGGAGCCTTTTTCAGAGGAGTCTTAATCCCATTCGCATGAGAGGAGGCCTTCCTCACCGCCTACTCCCCTCCCAAAGGCCCGGCCTGTTACATTTCATTGCAGGAATTTCGGATGGGATGCATTCACACCAAAGCGTCACCCTCCTGAGTACCTCTCTGAAGCCACCTTGGAGCCTGGGCTCCCCCAGGCATGGGACAGCACACCCCGTCCACTGGAGCCGACCCTGATGAATGCAGGCTCACTGGCTTTGCCACCGCATGCCCCCGGAGGCATCAGACGCTGCTTGTCTCTGCTGCCTTTGAAAGGTGTGCGTGGAGTCGCAGGCCTGAACTACATGAGATCGAGACGGAAACCCCGCCAGGCACCAACTAACGGATGCCCAGGCTGGAGTGACCCTCCTCCTCACCCTGGCAGCAGAGACCCACGTTGGCCATCGAGAAAGAACCGACGCCTAGCGAGAAGTGACAGGGAACATTCAGGATCCCCCGCCTGCCCCCGTCTGGACCTTGAGATGAGGAAGGACTTTGTCGTTTTTGTCACTTTAACCGAATCTTGGACAATCACCGCCCAAAGCGTGCACTCTGTGGGCTGTTTAAAAAATTATATGCGCACAGACTCTAAAGGAAAAACCAGAGACAAACCGCTCATATTCCATGAACCTTCCTTCTGCATAAACCGCCACGTGTCGCTTGGCAAAGCCGTGGGCCTGGCAGTGGGGTTAGCCTTTCCCACTCAGGAACCGCGCTGGCCACGTTTCTGCCGGCATCAGCGCCCCTGAGCTGCTTTCCAAAGCGCGGCGTCAGGAACGTCACTCTTCACTGTTGAATTCAACGTGGGCACCTTTAATGGCTCAGTCATTTTTTTTTAAAAAAATCAAAATTCCACGCAGGGGCCTTGGCTCCAGAGCTCCCTTTCCAGGAGGCTGTTGCGCGGGCTGGCCACCAGGTGGCACTGTTGCATAGCAAAAGGAACGCGGCTCCGCGCTGGAGAACCGGGCCGGGCTGCGCGGAAGCCCTGGAGGGCCAGCCGGGTGGAGGGAGCTGCAGGAGGGGGCGGCGTGCTTTCCGGGGGTGCAACTTGGTTTTCCCTGGAGGGATAAAGCTCTCCTTTGGCAGGTGCCTGGGGGTGCCCTTTAAAGCAGGGAGCCCGGGGAAGACCCAGCTCTCTTCCTGTGAGCTCATCCCTGGCATTCAGGGTGAAGGACCTGCAGCCTGGTCTCGGAAACGGCCCTCCAAGGCCTCCTTGTCCCCTGAAGCACACAGGCAGACCGCGGGTCGGGGTGCACCGTGGCTGTCCCTTCCCTCCAATGCTGGGCGACCCGGGCGGGTGGCCACCGCCTGACCTGGGCCTCCTGGCTGCCAGCCTGCACGCCCTGGGTGCAGAGGCAGGCGAGCCTGGCCTGGTCTGAACAGTCTTATGAGGATTCTCTGGGCCCGTGTGCTCCCGCCTGCCCCTGAAGGGCGTAGTGGAAGCATCCGAACATGCACTGGGTACCCTCGTGGCCTGGGACAGCCCTTCCCTGCTGGGCTCCTTGCTTTGTGTTAACCCTGAGGCCTGGGAGCCTGAGTTGGGGAAACGGGGGACTCCAGACAACACCCAGCTTGGATGCCGGCGTCCACTTCTGCTCAGAGAATCCAGTCAACTCAGGGCTTTGGGCTTTCCCATGACCAAAGAAAAGAAGTCAGTGAATGAGAATCAAATAAAGGAAATGATTTTCTGCCACCACCGGGGCGCAGACTTGCTGTCCATACCACTGTCCCTGGCTGTAGCACCCATGTGTGCCTGTGTGTCCAGAGGCCCACGGAGCCCAGATGGGCCTGGGGATGATTTCAGCCTCCAAGGAGGCCGCCCATCTCTTCCGGTGGCCCCTGCTTCTCACCCAGTGTGGGCCAGGCCCACCTGAATGCTGAGGGCAAGGACGAGTGGTCGTTACCTAAACGAGCCAGAGATGGCCTCTGGGGACTGGCCCTTGGGTCACTTATTTCTTCCCTGCAGGCTGAGCTCATTAGTTCAAGAGCCCACTGGCACCAAACTCAGATTTTTATACATTCAATTGTTTTAAAAATAGCCCCAAACAAGCAGACTTTCAGCCATTTAGAGCCTGCCTGTTGCATGTATTCTGCAAAACCTCACCTGGCAGCTGTTCGCTATTCATCATCCTCACTCTCTGTCTATCTCTCTGAGTCCATCTCTGTCTCTGTCTCCATCTCCATCTCTGTCTCTGCCTCTGTTTCCGTCTCTGTCTCCATCTCTGTCTCTGCTTCTCTTCCCCCTCTCTCTTGCTCTCTCTCCCTTCTCTCTCCGTCTTTCTCTGTCTCTTGCTCTCTCTCTTCCTTCTTTCCCCCGCTCTCTCCCTTTCTCTCCCCTTTCTCTCCCCTACCCCTACCACCCTGTCTCTCTTATCTGTATGATGGGGAATGAAGGATGCAGCAATGGCCGCCCATGTGTCGGTGGGAGCTCACTTCCCCAAGCCTTTACTTGAGGGGACTCTGAAGGGCTTCATGTCGCGTCAGCTTGTGATACGCACAAGCCGACTGCAGCAGACACAGCTGGGCCCTGTGTGCACATCTTCGCCCACCTCGAGGTCACCTGTGGACACCAGCATGGAGTCCAGCCTGTGGGGAAGGCTGGAGTCAGGGAGGCTAATGCCCTTCTAGGGGCAATCTGTACTAATGAAAGAGAAATAACTCAGAGGACACCATGGCGTCCCCTGCAGCCTTGCAGAGGGTCCCCAGCAGCTGTTCCTGCACTGAGGCCTCCTTGGCCTCCTCCTCCCTCTTCCCTGCGCTTCCCCGAATCCGCCCCCAACCCGTGAGCTTTGCCCTCCAGCCTTTGGCTCAGTGTCTGTTTTTGAGGAAACATAAACTAAGATAACAGCCTTGTGATTTCAGGGCTCCCTGTGACCGCAGCAGGGCCTGGGTTATCCGGGCGGATGCAGCTGTCCACAGACAGGCCTGAGGCTGGGCAGGGGGTAGGGGGCTGTGGCCTGCGTGTGCCTCTGTTCCCATTCCCGTCCCCTTCTTCCTTGAGGAGCACACGCCTTCTCCACTGTCACATTCCTCCTGCATCAGGAGCCCCCTGGAACCCGCGGCTTCGGGTCTGGTGCACCCTGTGGGGCCTCATGCCACTTGGTGTCACGTACTCAAGAGTTTATTTTCCCACAGAAATTTAGGAGAAAGTAGGGATTGTTTGTAGTCAAAGGAAGAAGTGTTCCTCAGTGGATGGAGAAGGCCTGGCTGTGCTCCAAGGCCCTGGGCCCTGCATACTCATCTCCTGGGGCTTCCTGAAGCTCCCTGTGGAGCGTGAGCCTGCCGGGCCACCTGGAGCACAGGGGGCCTCCAGGGACAGTGGGGGCACTGCGGGCCGGGCCCACGAGTGGGCTCCTTCACCTGGGCCTCCCCCAGGGCTGACAGCCCCTTGGATCCCAGGGAAATGCGTCCCAACCACAGAATGAGGTGCTGCTGGGGTACCTCCTTCCTCGAGCAGGACAGCCAGTCATGGTGCCCCTCTCTGAGTGGCATGGGCATCCAGGTAGAAGAGTGCCAGGACATGCCTGGGCAGCACCCTCTGGGATGCCACGGGCTCTATCCCCAGCTGCCCGCTGTGCCTCATTCTGGGGTTGATGGGTGCCAGGGCTCCCGCATGCTGGACCAGCAGGGCACCCTGCAAGGTGGTGCCGCCTTGAGGCAGTGCCAGGAGGTGACGGCTCGCCCACACAGGCTCCCGAACATCAGGGATACGCAGTAAAGACAACCTCATTCTAACGTTCTGTCTGTTTGGATAGAGACAAACACAGCCCAGATCTCAGCCCCCCGGCAGACACCAGACACCGCAATGATTTGCTCCAGCAAGCCAACTGTCCCGGAGCGGTAGCTGCTGGAGTCCTGATCCAACTCCACTATTGTCATTCCTATACCCAGGTGTGGGCGATCTGTGCTGTTAGACCTGGGGGGCTGCAATGGGTGGGACGGAAGCCTCTGGACCCCCAGTCCCTGGTGTAGAATGGTTCCTGGGAGTCTGGAAGAGGTGCCATTTCTCGCGCGCCTGTCGGGGATGGACTGACAGCTGCAGGACCCACCTCGCCGCTTCTTGCTGTGGGTCCATGCAGCCAACACAGAGGTTTGTGGTCACTGAGGACATTCGTGCAGACACTTTGTCCAGTGCCCGAGGGGACAGCTGCAGGCCAGCTGTAGCGTCCATGCAAGTTCTGCCCTGAGCGGTTTGCATTGAAATCCAGGCAGTCGTCTGCTCTCCACACACTTCCACTCTGACTGGGAGGGGGCCGCAGTGTCCTTCAACCCCATGGGTCAGCGTCCACAGGCCCTGGATGATTTAGGCAGAGTTATACCAGTAAAAGACCACAGCTGTCTGGGGAAGCCAGGAGCATGCCTGGCGCCCACTCAGATGCTGCCCTGGCAGCAGCCTTGTTCAGGGTCCCAGTCTCCTGCACATCCGGGACGCTGAGCAGGGCTGGCTGTCAAGTGGGGCTGGCTGCCGTGCTCACCTGCCTTCTGCTGCTGGGGGCCGGGGGACTGTGCTTCTTCGCCTTTAGTGGTGGAAGGAAAATACTCATGTAACAAAAACTATACACATGAAGTGTTTTCCCCCAAAGAAACAAGGGTGCTAGCCGGAAAGATGATCAGCTGCCAGAAAACCAAATAAAATAGCAAACCTTCTCTATAGGTGCCCAAGATGCCCTTGACAAAACTCCAAAGCCACTCATGGCAAAACCCAAAGCCAAAGAGAGATGGGAGGAAACTGCTCAAACATGAGGAATCGTGCTTCTCAGGAGCCAGTGGTGAACACGACCTTAACATATGAAATGCAAACCACTGTCATTCGAATGAGAACTAACGGGGTCCCCGTCACCCCCATCATTTATTTTGGTTCTAGCCACGGCAGGAGGATCACAGAATAACACAGGCCATGTAGGGAAATTGCAGCCTGGCCGGGCATGGTGGCTCACATATGGAATCCCAGCACTTTGGGAGGTTGAGGTGGGCAGATCACCTGAAGTCAGGAGTTAGAGACCAGCCTGGCCAACATGGTGAAACCCCATCTCTATCAGAAACACAAAATTATCTGGCCATGGTGGCAGTTGTCTGTAGTCCCAACTGCTTGGGAGGCTGAGGCAGGAGAATCACTTGAACCCGGGAGGAGGAGGTTGCAGTGAGCCGAGATGGTGCCACTGCACTCCAGCCTGGGTGACAGAGCGAGACTCCATCTCAAAAAAAAAAAAAAAAGAAAAGAAGGAAAGAAAGAAAGAAAGAAAAAAGAAAGGAAAGAAAGGAAGAAAATTGCAGCCTGCCTGAGTGGGGTGTCCTGCTGGTGAGGTGAGTGCTGCTGGGGTCTGGGCTTGTTGCTGACATATGCCTTGAGAAAGGTTTGAATAGGGCCGGGAACAGTGGCTCACACCTGTAATCCCAGCGCTTGAGAGGCTGAGGCAGGCAAATCACTTGAGATCAGGAGTTCAAGACCAGCCTGGCCAATATAGTGAAACTCCGTTTCTACTAAAGACCCCCCCCCAAAAAAAAACAAAAAAAAAACAAAAACAAAATTAGCCGGGTGTGATGGCTCATGCCTGTACTCCCAGCTTCTTGGGAGGCTGAGGCAGGAGAATCGCTTGAACCCGGGAGATGGAGGTTGCAGTGAGCCGAGATTGCACCACTGTAATCCAGCCTGGGCGACAGAGCGAGACTCCATCTCAAAACAAAACAGAAAGGTTTGAATGTTCCTCAGCCACTTGAGTGGCCCGGTCTGCCCAAGTATGAGAGATTTCCAGGGATGCAGGGCTTTCAATGCTAAGAATCATTTTAAAAAGGCAGTCTCCGGGAGTGAGTGGGTCGCCCTAGCGGCTGTGACTGGTGGTGCCCTTCCCCGCCCCTCACCAGCCCTGAAGAAACTGCCCCTCATTTTTGTTTTTCTTTGCATTTGTGTGATGGCTGCTAACTTTCTTGCATGCACATTGGCCATGAGTGTTTCCTGTAAGATATAAGTCTCCTGTGTATATTATTTGCCCATATTTCTTTTCTTTTTTTTGAGACAGAGTCTCACTGTGTTGCCCAGGCTAGAGTGTGGTGGTGCCATCTCGGCTCACTGCAGCCTCCACCTCCCGGGTTCAAGCAATTCTCCTGTCCCAGCCTCCGAAGTAGCTGGGATTACAGGCGCCCGCCACCATGCCTGGCTAATTTTTGCATTTTTAGTGGAGACAAGAGTTCATCATGTTGGCCAGGCTGGTCTCGAACTCCCGACCTCGTGATCCACCCACCTCGGCCTCCCAAAGTGCTGGGATTCCAGGCATCAGTCATGGCACCCAGCCCATATTTCTACAAAGATTTTGTCTTCATCTTTTAAGTTCAGAATGTAAATACCCTGTGGCTCTTCCATCTTGTTTTGGGCCTTAGTCTGAATTGCGCCCTGTCACCACAAGGTGCATGAACAAGGGCACTGGCACTGCCTTCAGTGTCACAGAAACAACAAAACGATGCCAAACACACGACGTGAAATGCTGAGATCTCCATCAACAGGTGACCGCCGAATTCACGACGATCCAACGTAACCGTGGAAGCTGATGGAAAAAAGGAGGTGCATATACATATTGATGTTACAACCGTCCCATGTTAGGCCGGGCGCGGTGGCTCAAGCCTGTAATCCCAGCACTTTGGGAGGCCGAGGTGGGCGGATCACGAGGTCAGGAGATCGAGACCATCCTGGCTAATACGGTGAAACCCTGTCTCTACTAAAAATCCAAAAAATTAGCCAGGTGTGGTGGCGGGCACCTGTAGTCCCAGCTACTCGGGAGGCTGAGGCAGGAGAATGGCGTGAACCCGGGAGGCAGAGGTTGCAGTGAGCTGAGATCGTGCCACTGCACTCCAGCCTGGGTGACAGAGCGAGACTCCGCCTCAAAAAAAAAAGAAAAAAAAATAAGAAAGAAATCTGCAGGTTTATGAGCAGGAGCACAGACAGTGGGTGAAACAGACACTAAGAGGTGTTCACACTGACAGTGGAAGGATCAGGACGAGAAGGGGTTGGGGGAAGTTTTTCGCTTTTAATTTTTGTACCCCCTATTGTTTACCCAGTAAGAATGGTCGGTATTCCTTTTATAATTAAAGGAAGTAATCCATTGAAGAAAATAAAATAAATAAAGTTGAAAAAGATGCATGCCTATTGTGGGCCTTTCTTTTAGGTAAAAATAATGTCTAGAAAAATGAAAACCAAAATTTCTAACCATACTTTTTTTAAAGAAAGAAGTTGGTAAAGATAAAAACATAAATTAGGCCAGACTCGGTGGCTCACACCTGTAATCCCAGCACTTTGGGAGGCCGAGGTGTGTGGATCACAAGGTTGGGAGATTGAGACCATCCTGGAGAACACAGTGAAACGCTGTCTCTACTAAAAATACAAAAAATTAGCCGGGCGTGGTGGCGGGCGCCTGTATTCCCAGCAACTCAGGAGGCTGAAGCAGGAGGATGGTGTGAACCCGGGAGGTGGAGCTTGCAGTGAGCCAAGATCGCGCCACTGCACTCCAGCCTGGGCGACAGAGCGAGACTCCGTCTCAAAAACAACAACAACCACAAAAACCCAAAAAACATAAATTAAAGAAATAGAAAAGAAGAGCTGAGCATTTCACAAACGGAGAGCAGGTGTCTGGTGTTTGGTGTGTTCCGGTCGAGTGTAGTCAGGAAAAGGAAGCCGCGTTGTCTGCGGGGCGGGGGCCTGTGCTTGTGGCTGCAGCAGCCCCTTCCCATCAGATAAGGACATTGTTCATGCGCGGACTGGCACCCAGGACAAAAACAACACCCACAAAACCTGGTAGCCCCACTTAATGTTCCCCTGCCGCGGCGGCTGGAGGATGGAATTACCAGAAACAATTAGACAAAGGAGGTTCAGAACCACAGGCATGGAATTAACTAACTTTATTTAAGATGACATGTGGAGAGACTGGAAGGACACCTTCGCTCTGTCTGGGAAGCCGTGAGGCTGAGGGGGCTGTCCCCCGCCCGGGTCCCGTGGGGAGCCCATCTTCTACCAACCCATCCCAGGTTCAGCAGGGTCTCTGGCTTTTGTTCGGAGCGCAGCAGGAGGCCACTGAGGTGCCCACGAAGGGGAGAGATGGGAGGCAGACCATGTTCTCAGTGACCACTGTCTCTGCTGTGTGATGAGGGGTTGTCTTGGGGAGGAAAGAATGCATGTGACCGGCAAAGCTGCAGAAACTCAGCTTAGAACAGGTCACAATCATGGTAGCAAACACTGGGGTGGGGAAGTCGGCCCTGACTGAGAGGCCAGGATGGATCCCAGGTACGTCTCTGAGGGGAAAGGAACAGGGCCCGTCACGAGCAGGAGGTGCCGCTGAGGAAAAGCAAGTTTCTGATGTGACTCCTGACTTCTCACAATGGGGCGTGGCACCAGCAATCAGAAGGGTAAAGGCTGTGGGTCGAATCAGAAGGTGCATCATACATATGCCGAGATCAGACGCCTGTGACACGGCCAGGAGGTGTGCAGAACACAGCCCATGATGAGACTGCCCCTTGGGCACAGTTAGGGACTGCAGGATCATATTTAAAATTTCTGGTGCACAGATGTTGTGTAAAGAGACTGGGAGAGCGGGAGATTGGGAGAGGGGAAGGAGAGGAGGAAAAGGGAGAGGAGGTTGAGGAGGAGAGGGGAGAGAGAGGAGGAGGGGGAGAAGGAGAAGAGAGAAGGCCTCCAGGAGCCTCAGAGCTGATGGACGCGGAGAAGCTGCGAAGCCTACACAGGGGACAGCCGGGAGGGTAGGGGCAGCAGGTGAGAGGAGAGAGGGCGTTAAGATGGACGGGGTGAGCTGTGCGGGTCACCACAGGCGCAGAGGGATGATGAGCACAGAACACTGCCTTCGGGGGCTTGGGTGACCACGAAGACGTGTGTCAGGCTGGAGACCCTACCCTGCTTAGAAGCTGAATGTCAGTCTATGACTGTCTCATGGGTACCAATAAACATACTCCCCATGGCCCTGTCACACTCTCCACGGCCCTGTCCCATTCTCCACGGCCCTGTCCCACTCCCCACGGCCCTGTCAAACTCCCCACGGCCCTGTCACACTCCCCACGGCCCTGTCAAACTCCCCACGGCCCTGTCACACTCCCCACGGCCCTGTCACACTCCCCACGGCCCTGTCACACTCCCCACGGCCCTGTCACACTCCCCACGGCCCTGTCACACTCCCCATGGCCCTGTCACACTCCCCACGGCCCTGTCACACTCCCCACGGCCCTGTCCCACTCCCTACAGCCCTGTCGCACTCCCCACATCCCGTGGCATCTGGCTGTACATGGAAGTGAGGAAGCTGCTGTCTCCCCCAAATAACATTGCTCCCAGCCAGGGCTCAGCCCTGTGGGGCAGGACTCAGAGGCTCCTGGTTCAGAGACCAGGGCCCTTGTCACTTGCAGCGTGAACAGCAGGGAACTTTGCCCCCGAGTCCCACAACAGAGGTGGGGACCTTGTCACGGTGGGCCCAGGTGTGACAACACAGGGCCAGCGATTCTTCACCCGGCAGCAAACACCGCGGCAGACGACAAACATTGCAGCCCTTGGCAAACAAAAAGCACGCAGCAAACAGCGTGGTCAGCGAAAAGACCCTCCCCTCCCCGGGGATCAGACAGTGCAAGGCCATCCCCGGGATGACCTGCACCCACCCGGCTGCCTGTGTGACCAGCCACAGAACCCACTCTGCATTAGCACCCACGGCCAGGACAGGCAGGGTGCTGCGCCCGTGGCTTCCTGCATCTGCCGACACCACCCGAGGCTGCCAGGCCACAACATGAAGTCAGCTGTGCCAGGAAATCCCAAGCCTCGCCCACACCTGGCCCCGGGCTGTCGCTGCATGCCAAGGGGTTGCCCACCTGGCTGTGGCTGCCTTACCCCATGGAATCCAGGCTCCAACTGACCTCACCATTCTGTGGGTTAATTTTCATTCTTAAAACCTTCATCTAAAGACCTTTGCTTCCTGGAACACAGGCCTGGGTTTTCCCAACAGTCGTGGGCACCCGGCCTGGCACGTGCTGCTCAGTGGAGGGACCTCACAGCCCGTTCTATGTGAGCTGTGCAGGAAAAGCTCCATGGACAAACTCACTCTCCGTGACAATCAGGAGGTTTCTTCTCCAACCACAAGAAGGAGCTGGGGGAGCTTGTGAGGCCAGGAAGAGAACAGTCCTAATCCCATCCTTCCCCTCCTCAGCAGTGACCCCAGGGTCTGCTGTCCTGCCCCAACCCACACTTCAAAGAAGGAAGGACACCTGCCTTCCCCTGCTACCTCACACCCCGAAGCATGGGGAGCATGGGGACCCTTGGCAGAGTCCTTTTGTAGTGAAGAATAACAAACTAGTGTAAAATAGCAGAAAAGAAGCTAATGGCCAAACACATCCAAGCTGGGGAAAACACCTGTTAAATATAATGACAGAATATGCTCTCATCAAAACCCAGGAAACTTTAAGAATACACTAAACCTCACAAAATGGGGGCGAAATACAATGATGACCACACGTATGAGAAATGGTGAATGGTAGAATTGAAAGAAATGCAAGGGAAATGAAAGATAAGGGGTCCTTTCCAAGCAAAGTGGCAATGCCACAACAGCTCGCAGTCAGGCTTGGCGGGACAAGAATGCTGGGCAGTGCTGGTTTGCAGGGAGGGGTCAACTTTTCTGGAAGCAGCCCAGCAAAGTGCCCCACGAGCCATCAATTATTCCTGTGCTTCCCAGCCACAGCCCACGAATGCAGGTGCAGCCACAGAAGCGCTGGCAGAGGGGAGGCTGAGAGTGGCGCTGGTTGAAGATTTCTCACAGGAAACAAAAGGCACAGCCTCCACGTGGCTCATGGCCATGAAAACCCTTGACTCAAAACTTTCCACGTCGTGAGGAAGACGCGGGTCAGCTGCCCTAGTTGGGTGATGATGATGCTGTCAGGGAAAGCGTCGGTGCCTATGTGGGGAGAGTAGGGGAGTGAGAAACAAAGCAAAGCGTGGTGGCTCTGTGGCTCCAGTGCCCCGGAGGCCACGGCTCACTTTTTCACAATGAACATGGGCTATTTTCATTTTTTAAAGTCTACTAATGTTTCTAAGGAGACCATACAGAACCGAAAATTCTGAATAACCTTGTCTTCCATAAGGCAGACTTTTCATTTCTGTCACCTTTCCGGAAGGGCTGGACACAGAGTCTGTGGGTCTGTGATGGAGGCGCCACCATCTCACCCTGAGTCCACGGCCCTCAGTCTCTGTGCTCCCCGAGCCGAAGGTGAGGAATCCATGCCTTATGGTTGGCGAGGGCTGCTGGGGCACCTGCCATCTCATCTGCATCCTGGGAAGCAGGAAGGAGCACAGAGGAAAACACAAGCCTGCTCTGGCCAGCTCAGTGTGCTCCTTCCAGAAACAGGTAAACACAAAATTACCCTGCGAAGCCGCCATTCCATTCCTAGGTCTATCCCCAAAAGAAATCAAAGCAGGGACTCAAATACTTGCACAGCCCTTGCCACGACCTGGATGTAGTCAGTGCATCTGTTCCCAGCAAAACTCTTGTTGAAACGGGACCCCCAGTGTGGCAGCGTAGGGAGGTGGGGCCTGAGGGGAGGGAGACGTGTGGGTCGTGGGAGTGACTCCCTGGGGAGTCCGTGGTGCTGGGAGTGATTCTCCTCTTGTGATACAGGGTGAGTTCCCATGGGAATGGATTTGTTCCCATGAGTGGGGCTTGTTCTGAAGCCAAGACATCCCTGAGCTTTATCTCCCTTCCCGTGTCTGCTTCCCCTTTGACCTCCTCCAGCAGAAGCCAGGGCCATGCCATTGAACTTCTCAGCCAGCAGAACTGTGAGCTTGATGAATTACCCCATCACAGAGGTTCTTTTATGGCTACACAGAATGGACTCAGACACCCATGCTCACAGCCGTGCAGTCACAATAGCCCAAAGGTGGAAACAACCCAGCAGGTGAGGGGATCTGAAATGGGGTAGACACACACATCGGGGTCTTACGGAGCCTGGAAAAGGAGTGTGCTCTGACGCATGCAGCAACGCCACCAACCTTCACAGCCTCGTGCCGAGTGAAGCCAGCCAGTCACAATAGGACCAATGCGGTGACCCCACAGATGGAAGGCCCCCAGAGGAGTCAGATTCAAGAGGAAGATGGCAGAATGGTAGTCAGCAGGGCCAGTGACAGAGGCCGATGGGAGTGAGTGATTAGTCAGGACGGAGCTCCAGTTTCGCGCGATGAAAAGGTGCTGGAGCTGCATGGTGGCGACAGTGGCACAGCCACGTGCAGGTTCTCAATGCCACGGAACTGTGCACTTACCATGGGGACGGTGGGAACTCTCATGTACCCGCATTTGACCAGAGAGGAAGGAAGGAAGGGAGGGGGGAGGGAGGAGGGAGGGAGGGAGCAGAGAAGGAAGGAAGGAAGGGAAGGGGGAGGGAGGAGGCAAAGAAGGAGGGAAGAGGGAGGCAGGGAAGGGGGGAGGGAGGGAGCAGAGAAGGAAGGGAGGGAGGCAGGGAGAGAAGAAGGAAGGAAGGAAGGAAAGAAAGAAGGAAGGAAGGGAGGGGGGAGGGAGGAGGGAGGAGGAAGGGAGGGAAAGAGGGAGGGAGGGAAAGAGGGAGGGGGGGAGCAGAGAAGGAAGGAAGGAAGGGAAGGGGGAGGAAGGAGGCAGAGAAGGAGGGAGGAGGGAGGCAGGGAAGGAGGGGGAGGGAGGAGGGAGGGAGGGAGCAGAGAAGGAAGGGAGGGAGGCAGGGAGGGAAGAAGGAAGAAAGGAAGGAAGGAAGGAAGGACGGACCAGCCTGTTAGGCTGACTGACAGAGTACCCCCTGTCCTCCAATGCTGCCCACGGCAGGCATGTGGCAGTGGCTGACAGGGAGTGAGTCTGGAAGTGACCCTTGTCGGGGCAGCCTCCTTGGTCCTGTGATTCAGGACAGGGTGAAAGTCAGTGGCGGCCATTGGTGCCTCTGGCCGGGGTTCCTCACAGGGGCCCGCAAGGGGACAGCGAATGGAGCGTGGAGGGTGGAGGGCTCCTTCTCCGGACCGGAGCGATGGGTTCGGGAGCCATTCTGTGCCTGTCTTTGCTGCTGGGCTGAGGAGCTGGATGGCATGCTGGGAGTAGTGGGAGCTGCTGAGGAGTTTGGTCCTGGAGCGAAGAGGCTGAATCCGCATGTCTGGAGTCACCGTGGAGGGCACAGCTAGAGGGAGCAGCAGGGTGTCCCAGGGAGAAGACACCAGGGCTGGAATTAGAGGGACATCAAGGCTGATACTTAGAGGCATCCAATATATGGGGCCTGCCTGATGGGCTGCTCTCAGGTGGGATTTGGGGGGTGTGAGAGGGGTCAGTGCCCAAATGACCATGGGGTCCGTGGCCTGTATGCCCAGTCAGGTGACGACGCCATTCAGAAAGTAGATCTCATGGGGTGCCCGGCTGCTGAGTCTCAGGCCAGATCTGCAGTGAGTGCGCTGCCCCAGGCGTGGAACACTCTGGTGCCATCGGGACCCAATGCTGAGTGCACCCAAGAGCTGTGGGTCTGAAACAGCGGTCAGAGGTCACTGACATGTGGAGGAGGCCCCTGGAGTGTGGGAGACAGAATCCCCAGGTGTCAGGCTTGGCAGGAGGCTTTGCAGGTGGGGAGGAAGGGCAGGTAGCGTGGCTGCCAGAGGAGAGAGGGCACTGGGGGTGGCTCGACCTGACGAGGCTGCTTGAAGGAGACACTCTTGGAAACTGACAGGGCTGCAGGCACTCCTGGGAGCAGGAGGAGGGTGGCCTGTCCTGGGCAGACCAGCCTCTCTGGGCTGTGTGGCCCCAGCTCCCTGAGCCCAGAGGGAGGTGAGGGTGAGAAGGCCTGGACCAGGCAGGACGCAGCCCCCAGGGCCCCTGCTGGGAAGAGGTCAGAACCTCCCAAGGACCCAGAAGGCCAGGTAACTGAGAACGGGGCTGCTCTCTGCATCTCCAGGGAGGACAAAGGCGGCCATGGCAGCAAGGGGACAGGGCAGAGGGGAAGGCGGGCAGGTGGATGTTGGAAGCCGCAGATTCCCATCCAGTATCCTAGAGGAGGAAACCCAGGGCTGTGTCCTAGGAGGCCCAGGAAGCCTGGTCAGCCTGGAGGCTGAGGGCGGGCCCGGGAGATCTGGGAAGGACATCAGTGTCTCCACGAAGAGCAGCAGGGTCTCAGCCCATGGCAGCCGCAGGCCCCATGACTGGGGCCGCAGCCTCCAGAGCCGCCACAGCAGCCCATTGTTCTGGGGGGTGGAAGGTGGAGGCTGTCAGAGGGGCAGTGCAGGGGGCTGCTGGGGTGAAGCCCCCTGTAGCAGCAGCACCCAGCCTGCTGTGGCTCTGCCCTCCTGGACCCCCTGTCCTCCTGGACCCCCTTCCCTCCTGGGCCCTCCTGGACCCCCTGCCCTCCTGGATCCTCTGTCCTCCTGGACCCCCTGCCCTCCTGGACCCCCTGTCTGTGGCCCCTGCTCCCCTCCTCCTTCCCCGACACATGACTGGACCCCCCGATCTGCAGCCGGGGTCTGGGCACTGGGGGTCCTGTGGGCCTCTCGGTGTCTGGGGACAATCACAGGTTCCCGTGCCCACACCCAGCCTCTGCTTCCAGAACACACTAGAGGGTCCCGCCATCCTGATGAGTCCACTGTCCCCGCGATGGTTTTCAGGGATGGAGAAGGCTCCCTGTCCTCCGCTGGAACCCTGCAGCCGGGCTGACGGTACCCCACCACCCACCCAGGGGCCCCAGACCCTCCCCATCTCCACCGCCAACCCAGGCCCCGGCTGCGCACGCGGGGCCAGGCCGTGAGCTGCTGTCCCCGGATGGGGCCGCCCCGGGCTGGCCTGGCTCACTCCGTGTCACAGATATTCCCACAGAGACCCCAGCGAGACCTGCAGAACATTACAGCAGAATGAAGGAGAGCCAGAGGAAGAGGCAGATGTGCTGGCCTGTAAACAGTCTGATTTCCAATGTAAACCAGATTCAGGCCCACGACATCAGGTAAACATCTGCATCAGAGCCCCCGGCCCCCCACCGCCCGGGAGGCCCCGGGGTCCACACGGCCGACTCTGGGACCCGTCACAGTGACCGCCGAGACATTTCGTAATTAGGCAAAATTGATCCTTGCATTCCTTCCCTAAATCCCAAATCTCTGCAATTTTACTTCTTCTCAAAAATGAAAACATTTGGCAATTAGCTGATCCAAGTGAAAAAGGTAGAGAATGTGCTCTCAACTGGAAAATGCCAATTAAGGAAGCAGCTCTGACTTCCCACCCGCCCTGGCTAAGCTGGGAGCTTATCTTCCCCGAGAAGAATCTGCTGGGATAAGGGGGCTTGGGAAACACCGAGGGCAGGGCTGCCTCCTCAGCTTCCTCTGAGAGCAGATTAGCCGTGGCCTTGTGCCAGCAGGGCCTGGGTGCCACACAGGGTGGCAGGGGTGGCAGAGCCGGGCCCGGCTCTGGTACTGGGATTTGGGGTGGCGGGACCCAGTGGGGCACCCGCTTGTGGGCGGCACTGAGGGCGGTGACGTAGGCAGCGGGTGCCGGTGTCTGCCCCTCCATCTGGCCGGGCTCCCCACCCTGCTCCTGCAGCCCTGGACCTCAGGGCCCATTTGCGGTGCAAGGCGGCTCTTGGCCATTTTGCCCGCAGGGCCCTACCTTGGGTCTTGGGAGCTTCTGTCCCTTGCCCTCTCTTGTCCAGGTCAGCATCTCCCACTGTGGGAATCCTATGTGGCCCCATCGTCTGGACAGTGTGGGTCAGGTCACTGTGGCTGTTTTGTGATGCGTGTGTGGGCTCATCCCTCAGTGCTCAGAAGCTGCAGACACTATGGAACCGCTTTTCAGGCCCCGTGGCCGTCACCCCCGCTCTAGAGACTTGATTGCAGGGACCATGCCCGGCCGGCCTAACTGCACCCCTCACTCCAGGTGGGTGGGGGGACCCAGGCCTGCTGGCCCCTGTGGTGGTGCAGCCCAGAAGGTGTGAATCAGTTTACACTGTTCAGTGCCTGAATAAAAGTCACAGGACAAAGAGGACTTGGTTGCACAAACTACTGACATGAAATTCACATTTTGTCCTGAAGGAAACGCAAGATGAATTGAACTCATGTTCAGTTTTTATTTCTCATTTCTCCCGCCTCAGTCTCTTCTCACGTGCACGACCTCACAGCGCTGTCACAAGGCCTGCTGGGCACACGCAGCTCATAGAGAAGTGATGGCTTCCTCCTTGCCCCCTCACCTCCCTCCTTCCCCTCTCCCCCTCACTTCGGAGCACACAGGCTGATTGTGGAGACATCTCCCAGCCAGGATGTGTCAACAGGGAATGTGCTGGGGACAGCGGGAGTTCACAGCCACCCCCGCAGGCGCCTTCCTGGAGCACGTCCACAGGCCATGTGCAGCTGCATCCCCCACGACGGCAGGGACAAGTTCCTTCCATAGGGCCCGGGTGGCCCCCAGAGCTGCACCATTTATGATCCGGTCCTTTGCAGAACGCAAGGGACAGACACATGAACCCTGACCTAGGTTCTTGTGCAGAAATGTTCTCTCATCGGAATAGAAAGGTATGAGTCTCAGGACTGGTTCTCTGCAAAGCAGCCATCGGCCTTTCAAGCAGAAACCATGGAGCCCCCAGAGGCTGAGTCTTCCAAGGCGCTGGGAGACTTGGCGTTTGCCTCTTTTTTAAATGCAATGACCGTTGCAGTGCATGGAATCAGAGACATGTATCTATGCGTAGAAATGAGTCTGTAAACACGATCAAGGTGTGATTTCTGTATGACAATGCAGTTGGATCAGAAATTGGAGAGTGCTGGCCGGGCGCGGCGGCTCACGCCTGTAATCCCAGCACTTTGGGAGGCCGAGGCGGATGGATCACTTGAGGTCAGGAGTTCGAGACCAGCCTGGGCAACATGGTGAAACCCCATCTCTACTGAAAACACAGAAATTAGCCGGGTGTGGTGGCGTGTGCCTGTAGTCCCAGCTACTCGGGAGGCTGACGTGGGAGGATCACTTGAGCCCAGGAGGCAGAGGCTGCAGTGAGTAGAGATAGCACCACTGAACTCCAGCCTGGGCAACAGACCGAGACTCCATCTCAAAAAAAAAAATAAATAAATAAATAAATAAGAAAGAAAAGAAGAAATAGTGGAGTGCTGTGGTCACTCTGGAAAAAGAGGAGGGACCCCACCCAAATGTGGTTCCTCCGTCAACCCTGAAGACGCCCCCACACACCGGGACGAGATGAAAGGGTCTGGTACTTACCTAGCTGGGCTTTCACGGGGTGCACGGTGGCTTCAGGAAGGGAGCTGGCGTGGGGCTCTTCTTATGCCTCGGGGGTGGGGTGATGGCCTCACATGGGCAGGAGCCTGCAGGGCTTGAGCCTCTCACTGGCACCAAAGACACCTGCCCTGCTGTGGGGCACATGGGAAGAGGGATGGGTGAGGTGTCAAAGCAGTGAGCCGTCAAACATCATAAAAACGGAGTCAGGCTCTTTATTGCAGGAAACAATTTGCGGCTTTCTGTGCAGAGAGCAGGGGGGATTTGAGGTGGGCTTTGTAGAGTGAGGGAGTTCACCAGATTGACAGTGTGGGCTGGGTCACCCTGTGCAAAGCAGCGATTTCCATGTTGCCCCTGAGAGAATGTTTTCCTGTGATCTCCAGCATCGAGATTTAAAAATTATCATGTTCATAGTCTGATGATAAAACATTAATTTTTAGGAAGGCAGAGGACCTGCCTGCTTTTCCTGATAAGACCTCGTTCCATTGCCCTAGGTCAGGCATGGATTATTAACTCTCAGGGTTTTGGGGGACCAGCAGCCACAGATGTGGAGTCCTGGGGAAAGGGCGACAGCCTCCTCTGCCTCCGGGGCTTTGTCCTTCAGTGACTTGACGCCCGCAAGAGTGGATGTTAATTCTCACCGTCCCCATGAAATCCCTGCTGAGGCATGCTGCCCAGGAGACATCTCCACAATCAGCCTGCCTGCTGGAGAGAGGAAGGAGGGAAGCGAGGGTGCAAGGAGGAAGCCAGCCCTTCTCTGTGAGCTGCATGTGCCCAGCATGCCTCATGACAGCCCTGTGAGGTGAGAGGAGACTAAGGCGGGAGAAATGAGAAGCTTGCCCGAGTCACGCAACCGAAGCACAGAGCCAGGGTCTGGCGCCCTGAGAGGTCCTGGGTGCATTGGATGCTGTGCACGTACTTCAGCAAAGAGGCAGGATGTTGTCATCTTCCTTCGGAGCCAGTAACATTTTCTGCTGCCAGCAAGGAAAGAACACTGGATCACGCGCCTCCATGCAGGCAGGGTCCTTCAGTGGCGCTGATCCTGAGCCCAGCCCTCTCGTGGTCTGTGCTGACGCCAGGGCCTCTCGTTGGAAGGCCTCGTGCTCCACAGTTCCCCCACAAAGGGGAGGATGCTGAACTCTTTACCTGTAATTCTGGCCTCGAAGCAGCTGTTTTCTGCCTGGTTTCTCACCCCAGCCATGCACAGTGGAGGTGTCAGCAAATCCCTGGAGAGAAAGCCCGGGGGACACAGGGTTCCTTTCTCTGAGGCTCCCTTTCCCTGGGATCACAGTAGCTGAGTCAGGGTCTCCAGAGAAACAGAACTGGGGGTAGGGGGGTGCATAAAGTGAGAAGGAGATTTATTATAAGGCGGGGACTCATGGGGTAATGGAGGCTGCAAGTCCAGCATCTGCAGTGTGGGCAGTGTGGGCAGTGTGGGTAGTGTGGATAGTGTGGGTAGTGTGGGTAGTGTGGGTAGTGTGGATAGTGTGGGCAGTGTGGGTAGTGTGGGCAGTGTGGGCAGTGTGGGCAGTGTGGGTAGTGTGGGCAGTGTGGGTAGTGTGGATAGTGTGGGTAGTGTGGATAGTGTGGGCAGTGTGGGTAGTGTGGGCAGTGTGGGTAGTGTGGGTAGTGTGGATAGAGTGGGTGGTGTGGGTAGTGTGGATAGTGTAGGTAGTGTGGGTAGTGTGGGCAGTGTGGGCAGTGCAGGCAGTGTGGGTTGGCCAGCTGCAGACCCAGCAGAGTCCGTGGAGCGGATGAAGTCCCAAGGCCGTCCGCTGGAGAATCTCTCTTGCTCAGGAAGGCTGGCTTTCTGCTGTATTCAAGACTTTAACTGATCGGAAGAGGCCACCCACATTACAGAAGGCAACATGCTTCACCCAAAGTTCATCCATTTAAAAGTTAACCTCAGGCTGGGCGCAGTGGCTCATGCCTGTAATCCCAACACTTTGGGAGGCCGAGGCAGGCGGGTCACCTGAGGTCAGGAGTTTGAGACCAGCCTGGCCAACATGGGGAAATCCCGTCTCTACTAAAAATACAAAAAATTAGCCGGGCATGGTGGCACACACCTGTGATACCAGCTACTCGGGAGGCTGAGGCAGGAGAATCGGTTGAACCCAGAAGGTAGAGGTGGAGGCTGCAGTGAGCCGAGATCACACCACTGCACTCCAGCCTGGGGAACAGAGCCAGACTCCGTCTCAAAAAAAATAAATAAATGAAGTTAATGTCCTCTAAATACACTTTCCAAATTGACACATAAAATTAATCATCATAAGAGAGCTGACATTCATTTTTTAATATTCAAAATAGGATCTTGCAACAAGACAGTCAGCTGGAAAGCTAGGCTTGTCGAGAGAGGCAGACAGAGAGAAAGAGAGAAACAGAGAGAAAGACAGAGAGGACTTGCTAAGTTCCTTCATCCTATCCAGAAGCAAACCCGGGAGACTTCGCCCATAGCTGCTGTGAGCGTTCGTGGGCAAATGCTTTCATTTCTCTTGCTAAATACCTAGGTGTAGAATTGGTCATATGGAAAGCGTGGACCTCACCGTTTAAGAACCCACCAAACTGTTTTTCAAAGCGGTTGCATCGTTTAAAATCCCCTCCTCATACTGTATATTTTGTTCTGCTGACCCGTTTGTCTCTCTTGACACCAATCCCCTTCTGTCTCCATGACTGTAGCCTCACGGCGAGTCTTGAAATCACAGATCTTTGGTCCTCCAACTGTTTTCTCTTTTTCAAGATTCTTTTGGTTATTCTAGGTCCTCTGCATGTCCTTATATTTTTTATAATCAACATGGGAATTTCTCTTAAGAGAAAAGAAGCGCTTCTGGGATTCTGATTGCAATGGTACTGAATTCATTAACCCATTTGGGAAGACGTGGCATCCCGTCAATATCAAGAGTTTGACCCGTGAACGTGGTGCGCACCTCCATTTATTTCATTCACCTTGACTTTCTCCCAGCCGTGCTCTTAGCATATCTCGTACATCTTTTGTGAGATTTATTCGTAAGGATTCATGTTCTCTCTGTAATTTTAAATGGCATTTGAGTTCAATTTCTGCTGTAATACAGAAATGCAATTGATTTTTAGTGGCCTCATGAAGATAAAACTCATATCACACACTTCACCCACTTCAAGTACACAATTCGGTGGTTTTTCATATATTCGCAGAGTTGTCCAGCCGTCACCATGCTCTAACCACCATCACAATGTAATTCTAGAACATTTTTATCACCTCAAAGAAGCCATACCCATCAGCAGTCACTCCCTACTCCTCCCGCTGAGCTTCTCCGCTGGCCTTGGCCACCACTGATCTCTCCTCCCTCTCTGCGGCTTTGCCTCTGCTGAATACAAATCGGGTTCTGCTATGTTCATCCTTCTGTGTCTGGCCTCTTTCACTTAGCGCAAGGTTTCAAGGTTCATGCACGTCATGGTGACCAGAACTTCATTTCTTTTTATAGCTGAGAAATACCCCATTGTGTGGCTAGTCTGCGTTTTGTGAAACCATTTATTGGTGCTGGGACACATGGGCTGCTCCCTCCATGTGGCTATTAGAACAATGCCATGGTGGACATTTGTGCACATGTTTTTGTGTGGACACGTTTTCATTTTTCTTGGGCGGAGTAGAATTGCTAAATCATAGGATACATCTATGTTTAACATTTTGAGGAACTGCCAAACTGTTCTCCAAGGCGATTAAATCATGTTGTGTTCCCGCCAACAACATAGGAGTGTTCGAACTTATCCACGTCCTCACTAACACGGATTATCGGCCTCACTGACGCTGTTCCAGAGACAGTGTGGAATGATGCCTCACTGTGAGTGTGTTTTGTGCTTCCCTAATGAGTAGTGACATGCCACACCTTTTCCTGTGCTATTTGCCATTTGTATCTCTTCTTTGGAGACATGTCTATCATTTTTTAAATGGGGTTAATTATCCCTTTATTACTGACTACTGATTTTGTATACTGATCTTATAGCCTACTATTTTGCTTAAGTCACTCATTAGTTCTAGTAGCTTTCTAGAAGATTCTGTTAGATTTTCTACAGGGATGGCCATGACCCTGTCTTACTTCTTCCTCTGCAATCTATGTTTTGTTTTGTTTTGTTTTCCTTTCCGTGCCTCATTGCACCAACTAGAATAGAGACGCTTTGAGTAGGCACTGCTGCTGGTTCCTTCTCTTGGGGGAAAGCGGGCAATCTTCTGCTAGGAAGCAAGATGCCTGCTGCATCTGCTTCGGAGACGCCCCTTTATCAGACTGGGAACATTCCCTTGTGCTCTCATTTGGCTTGAGTTTTTATTATAAATGCATAACGGATATCAGATTTTTTTCTGTGTCTATGGAGATGATCATATGGCTTTTCTTTTTTAGCTTGTGAATGTGGTGAAATGCACTGATCTTTCAAATATTCAGTTGATCTTGCGTTACTGGGATAAACTCCACGTTGTCATCATGTATTATTATTGTACATATTACTGTATCCAGTTTGCTAAATGTTTGCCTCTATGTTCATGAGGGGTATTGGCCTGTAGTTCTCTTGTGATATCTTTGTTTGGTTTTGGTATCAGGATAAGCCTCGTAGAATGTGTTAGGAAATGTTCTCTGGTCTTCGGTTTCCTGGAAAAAGTTGTACAGAGTCAGGATTCTCTATTTGTTGACTGCTGGGTGAAATTTACCAGTGAAACAATTTGACCTGTCATTTCCTTTGTCGGAAGGTTTTTGAACTACAAGTTTAATTTTCTTAACAAATACAGGGCTCTTTGGTTTATCTATTTTTTTAGTGACTTTAATAATTCGTGTCTTTCAAAAAAATGTATCCATCACATCTGAGTTGTCAGATTTATTGACCTGAATGTTCTGAATAGTCCCTTTCATCCTTTTACATATTTATAGAATCTCCTTCTTTCCCAATCTTGCTAATTTGTGCAGTCTCTCTCTTTAGTGATTAGACAGGGGAAAGATTAATCAATTTTATGGATTTTCTGAAATCATGTGTGCAGAGCAGCCACGGGATAGCACGGCCTCTGCACGCTGTGGGGTGTTCATCAGCTGGACAGGCAGCTGCCACCTGGACAGAGTGAAACCCACCGCCTGAGTTCTGGAGTAATTGTCCCAAGGAGGACCTTTCCACTCTGGGTTGTCCTGGAAAGAGGCTGCTCCTCGTCTAGGAAGTGAGGTCCCGGGCAAAGACCTCAGTGGGAGGGAGGAGACATGATCTTCCTGAGTCTCAGCCCCAAGGCACCAGCCTGGATCCCTCGGTGTGCTGCCCAGAGCTCGTCAGGCACTGATGAGGATTGAGAGGAGGGCAGGGGGGAGCACCCACGTACGACAGGACACACACACACACACACACATTCCCCTCCTGAGACATTTGCATCCAGGGAACATGCAGGCAATTCCTTGTTTGTGCAACTAAAACTCCAGAGTCCCCCAAAGTGAAAACAGCAGGCGGCTCCGAAGTGAACTGCAACTACCACCTCTTCCGAGACAGAAAACGCTCAGTACTGGGAGGACAGGGTTTCCAGATTTTTCTTCCCCAAGTAGGTTCCAAAAATACCAAGGCACTGAGTTTCAGCCAGGGCACGCCTCGCACCTGGCCTGGTCCCGGGGATCAGGATGCACTCTCCGCACGGAGCCCTCTTCTTGGTGGCCTCTGCGGCCTCTGCAACGGAGCTTGTCCTGGGACAACAAAGGTCTTAATCTGGCAGCTCCTCAAATGACCAGCCCTGGGAAGGGAACATGGTCATGAAAATAATAAGAAAGAAAAAGGACTACAGCAAAACAGAAAACCTGATTTAAGACAGCAGGACTTTTGAATCCTGATACAACAGGTTATCAGAAGAACGAATAAATTAAACTTACCAATTAAAAGACACAAGAGTATGGATGGAGTTAAACGATGTTACCCGCGAGAGACACAGAATAGTTGACAATAACAGGAAGGGAAAATGCAAGCCAATTGTATGTGGACTGAAAGAAGGCTACAAAAGGATTAAAACATTAAGCCACAATGCAGCTTTCTGACAGTCAAATGATCAACATACAGAAATATATTTTCCAACCACAGGGCAAAAAAAAAATTAGAAATTAAGTCACAAAAGGGATAGTGCAAATATTGTATGTTTGGAAACCAAATAGTCTATTACCATAAATTTGGGGTTAAAGAGATAATCATAATTATTAAAAAGTAATAAAAACATTGCACATTAGAAGGACGGGGCAGAGTGAAGCAGCTGTTACTGAGAGGTGTACGGTACTAAATACATTTCTCACAAATTATGAAATTGGATGTCTACGCAGATGTTTTGCCTGTTTCTAACGGAGCTGTTTTTGTCATTAATTTTTTAGTTCCTTTTCCATTCTGGGTTCAATCTTTCATCAGTGATATGGTTTGCAAATACATCCTCCAGATCTGCGACTTATCTTCCGATTTCTTGTTAGTGTCTTTTGAAGCACACATTTGAAAAAAATTCGATGAAGTTCACCCTATCAATGTTTTATTTTACGATCTTATTTTTGATGTCATGGCTAAGGAATTGCACCTGGCCCACAGCTTCCTTGACTTTCTCCCATGTTTTCTACAAGTTTTAGTTCCCGGTTTTCATGTAACCCTCTTTGTGTTAATTCTTGTGGAGGACATGAGATAGGGTTCCAAACTTCTTTCTCATGTGGCTATCCAGATGTCCCAGCACTATTTGTGGAAAAGACTGTCTGTCCCCCGACTGAGTTCTGTTTGTTGCCTTTGTCAAAAATCAATTGACAATCTACATAAAACGTTTTTTTTTTTTCCTGGACTTTTGATCCTGTTTCATTGATCTGTGTGGCTACAGTGAAACCAATACGAGACTGTCTTTGTTACTAAATTTTGTTCTTTTAAAAAATTGTTTTATCCATACCGGGTCCTTTAAGTTATTTTTGTCATGAAGTTTTTAGCTCTTTTTTCTATTCTGGATACAATCTTTTATCAGTTATATGATTTGTCAATATTTTATCCTAATCGGTGGCTTTCCTTTCATTTTCATTTGTAAATATTAGGATCAATTTGTCAAATTTTGCACAAATGCCTGCTGGATTTTGACAGGGATTATATTGGATTTACAAATTGCCATGTTAACGTGATTGTGCCTCTGGCCCATGAACACGGGCGGCCTCCCCAGTTGCTCATGTTTTCTTTAATTCCTCTCAGCAGGATTTGGGGGTTTTAGCATTTAACTCTTATACTTCTTTGGTTACGTATATGCTTCTGTATTTTATTCTATTATTATTTAAAATTTTCTTAATTTCATTTTCAGATTGTCTATTACTAATGTATAGAAATTCAGTGGATTTTTGTGTATTGATACTACACTCTGCACCTTTGCTGGATTTTTTATTAGTTCTAACAGGAGTGTTTGTGTTTATTCTGCTTAGGGCTCTCCAAAATTCTCAAATATGTGATTTTTTTTGTCTTTGACTAGCTTTGGGAGACTCTCAGCCACCATCTCTCCAAGTAGCTTTTCTTCCACGATTTCTTCTTTCCTCTTAGGATCATAAGTGGACATTCACTAGAGTGTGTTGAAGTGTTTTAAAGGTCTTGGATGCTTGATTTAGTTCTCTCTCTTTGTCTTTTTTCTCTTTGTGTTCATTTTGGATGACTTCTACTCACCTGTCTCCCAGTTTATGGATTCTTTCCTTAGTTCTTTCCAGTGTGTTAATTAGCCTATGATAAGAATGTTGATATTGTTGGTGGGGGGGCGGTGGTGGAGAGGCTATTTCCATTTGACTTTTGTTTTTTTTGAGACAGGGCCACGCTCTGTTGCCCAGGCAGGAGTGCAGTGGTTCGATCACAGCTCACTGCAGCCTCTAACTCCTGGGCTCAAGAGATCCTCCTGCCTCAGCCTCCAAAGTAGCTGGGACTATAATCCCAGCACTTTGGGAGGCCAAGGTGGGTGGATCACCTGAGGTCAGGAGTTCAAGACCAGCCTGACCAACATGGTGAAACCCCGTCTCTACTAAAAATACAAAACATAGTTGGGCATGGTGGCACACGCCTGTAATCCCAGTACTGGGGAGTCTGAGGCAGGAGAATCACTCGAACATGGGAGGCAGAGCTTGCAGTGAGCTGAGATTACATCACTGTACTCCAGCCTGGGCAACAGTGTGGGACTCCATCTCAAAAATAAATAAATAAAAACAGTGTTCTAGTTTTTTTCAGTTTTCATTTATCTGTTGAAATTCCTCACCTGTTAATGCATATTGACTAAACATACCCATCACAGTTATTTTTATTTATTTATTTGTTTTTTTGAGATGGAGTCTAGCTCTGTCACCCAGGCTGGAGTACAGTGATGTAATCTCAGCTCACTGCAAGCTCTGCCTCCCGGGTTCGAGCGATTCTCCTGCCTCAGCCTCCCGAGTAACTGGGACCACAGGCACCTGCCACCATGCCCAGCTAATTTTTGTATTTTTAGTAGAGATGGGGTTTCACCTTGTTGGCCAGGCTGGTCTCGAACTCCTGACCTCATGATCCGCTCACCTCGGCCTCCCAGAGTGCTGGGATTGCAGGAGTGAGTCACCGCACCTGGCCTGTGAGTTATTTTAAAGTCCCTGTGCAACAGTGTCAACATTGGAGTCATCTCAAAGTTGGATTCTATTAATTGTTTTATCACATGGCCATGGTTCATTTTACCTTCCTTCCTTGCTATCTCATAAATTTTAATTGAATTTCAGACACTGTGTCCAGAGAATAATAGAGACGGAGGCAGGTAGCCTTTATGCCCCAGATGGCTTTGGATCCCCTTCTTCTGGGTATGAATGTGGGATCTGTGCCAGCCTGGGCCATGGGTGGGCCGGGTCAGGGTGAGGTGTGGCCGCCATTACCTCAGGGCGTCAGAGACTGCGAGGCCTCCTAGGCAAGCTCACCCTTACCTGGTGCTGAAGCCTGGGGCTGGGGACCAGGGAGGATTTTCTTTTTTCTTTTTTTGAGACAGAGTTTTGTTCTGTCGCCCAGGATGGAGTGCAGTGGCGTGATCTCAGCTCACTGCAAGCTCCACCTCCCGGGTTCATGCCATCCTCCTGTCTCAGCCTCCCAAGTAGGTGGGACTACAGGCGTGTATCACCACGCTGGGCTAATTTTTTTGTATTTTTATTAGAGATGGGGTTTTGCCACGTTGGCCAGGCTGGTTTCGAACTCCTGACCTCGTGATCTGCCCGCCTTGGCCTCCCAAAGTGCTGGGATTACAGGTGTGAGCCACCACGCCCGGCCCCAGGGAGGGTTTCCTCAGTGCCCCTACAGCTCCATTGCAGCAGGCCCTTCATGCCTGAACCACAGAGGTGGTTTTCTCCATGTTCTTGCCCCTTCGTTCATTTTACGCAACAGATATCTATTGAGCAACTGCCATGTGCCAGACACTGAGCTCAAGTATGGTTTATTCTAGCGAGGCAGGAAGAGCAGTGGGTCTATTTATGTGATTCTGGAAATTCACAAAGGATGAAACCTATGACTACTCAAGTATTAGCTGCAAAAGCTGGTAAAGTTCAACAAAGTTCGAAAGCTTGCTATGGTTCAGCATTCGTTTATGTTAGAAAAAAAGAAAAACTTGAAAAGCTATTAATATCTAACTTCTGAAGAATATCCCTCGGGAAGTGATATTAAAAGTCACATAGAAACATTAGGAGAAGCAGCTACTACCTGTCTTATTAAACATTGTTTTGAATGATAGCATTGGGACACACTAAAAACTAAATACAGTTCAAAATATTTAAAAGGAAGAAATGAAACAACTAGAACAAAAGCTGAGTAAAGATACAACATTATAAATCAACGGATTTTCTAGACACTATGTAGAGAAAATACCACATGACAACATTTCCCATTTATAATTTTAAAATTATAGAATTCTATGGGCAGCCGGGCACAGTGGCTCACACCTGTAATCCCAGTACTTTGGGAGGCTGAGGAGGCCAGGTCACTTGAGGTCAAGAGTTCGAAACCACCCTGGCCAACATGGCGAAACCCAGTCTCTACTAAAAATACAAAAACTTAGCTCGGCATGGTGGCTCATGCCTATAATCCCAACTGCTTGGGAGGCTGAGGCAGGGGAATCACTTGAACCCAGGAGGCGGAGGTTGCAATGTGCCAAGATTACACCATTGCACTCCAGCCTGGGCAATGAGAGTGAAACCCCATCTCAAAAAAAAAAAAAAAAAAAGCCTCCTACCCATAAGATGTAAATAAATGGAGAGATATAACAGGCTTCTTGATTGAGAACACTTACAACTTCAGGTCTCTAAAAATCAACCTATGGATTTAATTATATTCCAATTAAAATAAATAATTACTTTTATCTTGCCAAGTTTTCTCTAAAATTCTCATCAAAATGTATAGGCAAGTGTAGCCATTAAATTTTGGGGGGATGTCTTTATAATTTTTTTAAATTTTTATAGCCATTAAAAATTTAAAAGCAAAATATAAAGGAAGAAGAATGAGTGGTGATTTCCCAGACAGCTATCAGAACAGACTATAAAGCTACAGTTATTAAAACAGCACTGCCTTGCTTCTGGATTACATAAATTGAAGGAGGAAGTGGAGCCGGGCCCTGGCAGCCTTCTCAGTGTAACTCAGGACCCCGTGGACGGGGTGTCTGAGCCAGCAGGAAGAGACAGGGCCTGCTGCAGAGGACGTAACAACAGAACCACGCACCTGCAGCAAGGCAGTCCCATCTCCGTCTCAGCTGAGACACAGAGCAACCACCCAGCTAGGCAGTCCCATCTCAGCTGGAGCACATCCACGAGGAATCCAAATGCACACAAAAAAATAAAAGTACAAAATTCCTGGAAGGACATGTGGGGAATGTATTCCCGATATTGGGGGGGCCTTAAAGCATGGCGCGAAACACAAGCATTGTTAACGGAGTGTCTGGGAGATTTCACTGTTTCAAAAGGAAACACTTCTTTATTGAAAATCACAGTAAAAAAATGACATAGTACAGATTCAGAGAAAATGTTTCTTACAAATATAACAATAAAAATTAATATCTCTGATATCCAAATTGATTATACAAATCAATAGCAGCTCAGTAGAAAAATGGACTAAACGTATGAATATTAATTCTCACACTTTTTATGGAATAATGTTTAGAAAAAGAAAAACTTTAAAATTCACAGAGGGGCTAAGTTTTAGGGAATAGTTTTGAGTGTCATCTATATAGTTTTTCTCAATAAATATATTAATGTAGTAAATTACATTGAGTGCTTTTATATTTTAATTTAGTTTTTCCTAAATTGATCTAGATAGATTTTTTATCAAAAATACCAGGAATACATATTAATCAACACACCAAAATATCAAAAATATTTTTTATTAGATAAATTGATTCTAAAATGTGTACAAAGGGGCAAAGGAACTAGAATAGCTAAATGATAAAAGAAGAAGAAAGGAAGAATCGTGCCCCTCAATGTTAAGAGTTACTCAAAAGCTCCCGTAATCAAGAGTGTCACCGTGGGTGTGGGCACAGCAGCTCATGCATGTAATCCTAGCACTTTGGGAGCCTGAGGAAGGAGGATCTCTTGAGGCTAGAGTTCTAGACCTGCCTGGGCTACATAGTGAGACCTCATCTCTAAAATTAAAAAAAAAAAAATTAATTAAAATTAAAAAAATAGAAAATTGAAAAAGAGAGTGTCACCCCAGGGAAGAGAGAGAGTGGAGGTAAAGGGGCGTGCAGACCCCCAGGATCACGGCCACCTGGCCTCCCACAAGGGACCAAGAGCCGTCAATGCCAGAAGAGCCGCTTTCCCAACAAGCCATGCTAGAGCAGACTCATGGGTTCAAAAATGGCCGTAGACCTACACGTTCATATGAAAATTAACTCAAACTGGGGCTGGGCACAGTGGCTCATGCCTGTAATCCCAGCACTTTGGGAGGCCGAGGCTGGCAGATCACTTGAGATCGGGAGTTCGAAACCAGCCTGGCCAACATGGTGAAACCCTGTCTCTATGAAAAATACAAAAATTAGCTGGGCGTGGTGGCAGGCACCTGTAATCCCAGCTACTTGGGAGGCTGAGGCAGGAGAATCGCTTGAACCCAGGAGGCAGAGGTTGCAGTGAGCCAAGATCATGCCACTGCACTCCAGTCTGGGCAACAGAGAGAGACTCGTCTCGAAATAAATAAATACATTAATAAACAAAAATTATCCAGGCGTGGTGGCAGGCACCTGTAATCCCAGCTACTTGGGAGGCTGAGACATGAGAATCATTTAAACCTGGGGGTTGGAGGTCGCAGTGAGCCAAGATCACGCCACTGAACTCCAGCCTGGGAGACAGAGTAAGACTCCGTCCCCCCCCAAAAAAAAAAAAAAAGTAAAAATAAAGGAAATTAACTCAAATTGGATCAAAAACAATAACACTTTTAGAATAGAAGAAAGTGTCCAGGACCTGGGGCTTGGCAAGGACTTCCTAGATATAACATCAAAAGCATGATTCATATATATTTTAAATCAATGAATTAGATCTCATTGAAATTAAAAACTTTTATGCCGTGAAAGATCCTGTTAGGATGGATGAAAAGATAAGCTGTGGGCTGGGAGAAAATGTTTGCAAAACCCATGTCTGACAAAGGACTCGTATCTAGAATATAAGAAGAACTCTCAAAACTCAACGGAACAGGGCCAAATAATCCAATGAAAGAAGGATCATGGAGACAAGGTGGAGATGGCAGATGAAGTCACAAAACGGCCTTCAACCCGCGTGGCCCCAGGGAAACACAGGCTGGGACCATGACCCAATATTTCTCCGTACCTATTAGAACAGCTAACGCAAAATATAATAACAAGACCAAATGCTGGCAGAGATTCGGAGAAACGGTATGACATTCACTGCGTGTGGAATGTAACATGGCGCACCCACCATGGAAAAGAGTTTGACAGTTTCTTAAAAAAGCGAAACAGACTCTGACCATTTGACCCAGCAGTCACACTCCTGGGCATTTGTCCCAGAGAAAGAAAGATTTATGTTCACACAAACACCTATACGTGATTGCTCATGGCAGCGCTATTTGTAATAGTCAAAAGCTTCAGTAGGTGAATGGTAAACAAAGAGGTCCTTTCCTACCAGGGGAGGCTACTTATCAGTAAAAAGGAACTAACTGTTGACACAGGAAGCAGCTTAGATGGTCTCAAGGGCATGTTCCTGAGTGAAGAGCTCATCTGAAAGGGTCCCACGCATTCCATTTACATCACATTTGCAAAATGACAAATTTATAGCCATAGGAAAAGGCCAGAGGGTGTGAGGAGGAAGGAACGGGGACATGGGCAGTGAGTCTCTGGGATGAGGCAGCCCCGGAGATGGCCGTGGCAGTGGGACAGCTCTGTGTCCTGTTCCTGGTGGTGTGTACACAAATTCCCACATCCTACAACATGGCAAAAACCCAGATACACACACTGTAGCACGGTCAGCTTCCTGGCTTAGACACGCACTCCAGCTAAGGGAGACGAAGCCGTTGGGAAAACTGGTTGAGGGGCATGTGGAAATCTCTGTACTAGTTTTGAGACTTCCTGTGAATCTGTAATGATTTCAAAATAAAATCTTTAAAAGAAATCACGAGCTTGATAAAGAGAATATACATTGTATGCTGCCTTTTGAATAAAAAAAAAATTAGACATGCAGGTATTCCGTTATTGTTGCAAACAGAAACCACGGGAAGAAGGAGACAGAACTCATGGACTCGGTGAGTGGAGAACAGAAAGTTTGAGCGTCTGAGGTTACTTAACGATTTCACATTTAAAAATTATTTAAATTAAGTAAAAAAGGATACAGAACACATAAATGGAACACAAGAAAACAAACAAATGGGCATTTTCAACGCATAAATGTTTAGGAGTGGAGACCGACCAAGAGCCGCCTTGCACCGCAAATGGGCCCTGAGGTCCAGGGCTGCAGGAGCAGGGTGGGGAGCCCGGCCAGATGGAGGGGCAGACACCGGCACCCGCTGCCTACGTCACCGCCCTCAGTGCTGCCCACAAGCGGGTGCCCCACTGGGTCCCGCCACCCCAAATCCCAGTGCCGGAGCGGGGCCCGGCTCTGCCACCCGCTGCCACCCGGTGTGGCACCCAGGCCCTGCTGGCACAAGGCCACGGCTAATCTGCTCTCAGAGGAAGCTGAGGAGGTGAGGAGGCAGCCCTGCCCTCGGTGTTTCCCAAGCCCCCTTATCCCAGCAGATTCTTCTCGGGGAAGATAAGCTCCCAGCTTAGCCAGGGCGGGTGGGAAGTCAGAGCTGCTTCCTTAATTGGCATTTTCCAGTTGAGAGCACATTCTCTACCTTTTTCACTTGGATCAGCTAATTGCCAAATGTTTTCATTTTTGAGAAGAAGTAAAATTGCAGAGATTTGGGATTTAGGGAAGGAATGCAAGGATCAATTTTGCCTAATTACGAAATGTCTCGGCGGTCACTGTGACGGGTCCCAGAGTCGGCCGTGTGGACCCCGGGGCCTCCCGGGCGGTGGGGGGCCGGGGGCTCTGATGCAGATGTTTACCTGATGTCGTGGGCCTGAATCTGGTTTACATTGGAAATCAGACTGTTTACAGGCCAGCACATCTGCCTCTTCCTCTGGCTCTCCTTCATTCTGCTGTAATGTTCTGCAGGTCTCGCTGGGGTCTCTGTGGGAATATCTGTGACACGGAGTGAGCCAGGCCAGCCCGGGGCGGCCCCATCCGGGGACAGCAGCTCACGGCCTGGCCCCGCGTGCGCAGCCGGGGCCTGGGTTGGCGGTGGAGATGGGGAGGGTCTGGGGGCCCCTGGGTGGGTGGTGGGGGTACCGTCAGCCCGGCTGCAGGGTTCCAGCGGAGGACAGGGAGCCTTCTCCATCCCTGAAAACCATCGCGGGGACAGTGGACTCATCAGGATGGCGGGACCCTCTAGTGTGTTCTGGAAGCAGAGGCTGGGTGTGGGCACGGGAACCTGTGATTGTCCCCAGACACCGAGAGGCCCACAGGACCCCCAGTGCCCAGACCCCGGCTGCAGATCGGGGGGTCCAGTCATGTGTCAGGGAAGGAGGAGGGGAGCAGGGGTCACAGACAGGGGGTCCAGGAGGGCAGAGGACCCAGGAGGACAGAGGATCCAGGAGGGCAGGGGGTCCAGGAGGGCCCAGGAGGGCAGGGGGTCCAGGAGGACAGGGGGTCCTGGAGGGCAGGGGGTCCCGGAGGGCAGAGGGTCCTGGAGGGCAGGGGGTCCAGGAGGGCAGGGGGTCCAGGAGGGCAGAGGGTCCTGGAGGGCAGGGGGTCCAGGAGGGCAGGGGGTCCAGGAGGGCCCAGGAGGGAAGGGGGTCCAGGAGGACAGGGGGTCCAGGAGGGCAGAGCCACAGCAGGCTGGGTGCTGCTGCTACAGGGGGCTTCACCCCAGCAGCCCCCTGCACTGCCCCTCTGACAGCCTCCACCTTTGACCCCCCAGAACAATGGGCTGCTGTGGCGGCTCTGGAGGCTGCGGCCCCAGTCATGGGGCCTGCGGCTGCCATGGGCTGAGACCCTGCTGCTCTTCGTGGAGACACTGATGTCCTTACCAGATCTCCCGGGCCCGCCCTCAGCCTCCAGGCTGACCAGGCTTCCTGGGCCTCCTAGGACACAGCCCTGGGTCTCCTCCTCTAGGATACTGGATGGGAATCTGCGGCTTCCAACATCCACCTGCCCGCCTTCCCCTCTGCCCTGTCCCCTTGCTGCCATGGCCGCCTTTGTCCTCCCTGGAGATGCAGAGAGCAGCCCCGTTCTCAGTTACCTGGCCTTCTGGGTCCTTGGGAGGTTCTGACCTCTTCCCAGCAGGGGCCCTGGGGGCTGCGTCCTGCCTGGTCCAGGCCTTCTCACCCTCACCTCCCTCTGGGCTCAGGGAGCTGGGGCCACACAGCCCAGAGAGGCTGGTCTGCCCAGGACAGGCCACCCTCCTCCTGCTCCCAGGAGTGCCTGCAGCCCTGTCAGTTTCCAAGAGTGTCTCCTTCAAGCAGCCTCGTCAGGTCGAGCCACCCCCAGTGCCCTCTCTCCTCTGGCAGCCGCGCTCCCTGCCCTTCCTCCCCACCTGCTCAGTCCTGCAAAGCCTCCTGCCTAGCTGGACACCTGGGGGTTCTGTATCCCACACTCCAGGGGCCTCCTTCACATGTCGGTGACCTCTGACACTCCAGGGGCCTCCTTCACATGTCGGTGACCTCTGACCGCTGTTTCAGACCCACAGCTCTTGGGTGCACTCAGCATTGGGTCCCGATGGCACCAGAGTGTTCCACGCCTGGGGCAGCGCACTCACTGCAGATCTGGCCTGAGACTCAGCAGCCGGGCACCCCATGAGATCTACTTTCTGAATGGCGTCGTCACCTGACTGGGCATACAGGCCACGGACCCCATGGTCATTTGGGCACTGACCCCTCTCACACCCCCCAAATCCCACCTGAGAGCAGCCCATCAGGCAGGCCCCATATATTGGATGCCTCTAAGTATCAGCCTTGATGTCCCTCTAATTCCAGCCCTGGTGTCTTCTCCCTGGGACACCCTGCTGCTCCCTCTAGCTGTGCCCTCCACGGTGACTCCAGACATGCGGATTCAGCCTCTTCGCTCCAGGACCAAACTCCTCAGCAGCTCCCACTACTCCCAGCATGCCATCCAGCTCCTCAGCCCAGCAGCAAAGACAGGCACAGAATGGCTCCCGAACCCATCGCTCCGGTCCGGAGAAGGAGCCCTCCACCCTCCACGCTCCATTCGCTGTCCCCTTGCGGGCCCCTGTGAGGAACCCCAGCCAGAGGCACCAATGGCCGCCACTGACTTTCACCCTGTCCTGAATCACAGGACCAAGGAGGCTGCCCCGACAAGGGTCGCTTCCAGACTCACTCCCTGTCAGCCACTGCCACATGCCTGCCGTGGGCAGCATTGGAGGACAGGGGGTACTCTGTCAGTCAGCCTAACAGGCTGGTCCGTCCTTCCTTCCTTCCTTCCTTCTTCCCTCCCTCACTTCCTTCCTTCTTCCCTCCCTGCCTCCCTCCCTTCCTTCTCTGCTCCCTCCCTCCCTCCTCCCTCCCCCTCCTTCCCTGCCTCCCTCCTCCCTCCTTCTCTGCCTCCTTCCTCCCCCTTCCCTTCCTTCCTTCCTTCTCTGCTCCCCCCCTCCCTCTTTCCCTCCCTCCCTCTTTCCCTCCCTTCCTCCTCCCTCCCCCTCCCTCCCTCCCTTCCTTCCTTCTTTCTTTCCTTCCTTCCTTCCTGCTTCTCTCCCTTCCTCCCTCCCTCACTTCCTTCCTTCCTTCTTCTCTCCCTGCCTCCCTCCCTTCCTTCTCTGCTCCCTCCCTCCCCCCTTCCCTGCCTCCCTCTTCCCTCCTTCTTTGCCTCCTCCCTCCCCCTTCCCTTCCTTCCTTCCTTCTCTGCTCCCTCCCTTCCTCCTCCCCCCTCCCTCTCTCCCTTCCTTCCTTCCTTCTCTGCTCCCTCCCTCCCTCCTCCCCCCTCCCTCCCTCCATTCCTTCCTTCCTTGCTTCTTTCCTCCGGCTCTCCCTCCCTCCCTTCTCTGCTCCCTCCCTCCCTCTCTCCCTCTCCCTCCCTCCCTCCCTTCCTTCTTTCTTTCCTTCCTTCCTTCCTGCTTCTCTCCCTTCCTCCCTCCCTCACTTCCTTCCTTCCTTCTTCCCTCCCTGCCTCCCTCCCTTCCTTCTCTGCTCCCTCCCTCCCTCCTCCCTCCCCCCTCCCTTCCTTCCTTCCTCTCTGGTCAAATGCGGGTACATGAGAGTTCCCACCGTCCCCATGGTAAGTGCACAGTTCCGTGGCATTGAGAACCTGCACGTGGCTGTGCCACTGTCGCCACCATGCAGCTCCAGCACCTTTTCACTGGGCGAAACTGGAGCTCCGTCCTGACTAATCACTCACTCCCATCGGCCTCTGTCACTGGCCCTGCTGACTGCCATTCTGCCATCTTCCTCTTGAATCTGACTCCTCTGGGGGCCTTCCATCTGTGGGGTCACAGCATTGGTCCTATTGTGACTGGCTGGCTTCACTCGGCACGAGGCTGTGAAGGTTGGTGGCGTTGCTGCATGCGTCAGAGCACACTCCTTTTCCAGGCTCCGTAAGACCCCGATGTGTTTGTCTACCCCATTTCAGATCCCCTCACCTGCTGGGTTGTTTCCACCTTTGGGCTATTGTGACTGCACGGCTGTGAGCATGGGTGTCTGAGTCCATTCTGTGTAGCCATAAAAGAACCTCTGTGATGGGGTAATTCATCAAGCTCACAGTTCTGCTGGCTGAGAAGTTCAATGGCATGGCCCTGGCTTCTGCTGGAGGAGGTCAAAGGGGAAGCAGACACGGGAAGAGAGATAAAGCTCAGGGATGTCTTGGCTTCAGAACAAGCCCCACTCATGGGAACAAATCCATTCCCATGGGAACTCACCCTGTATCACAAGAGGAGAATCACTCCCAGCACCACGGACTCCCCAGGGAGTCACTCCCACGACCCACACGTCTCCCTCCCCTCAGGCCCCACCTCCCTACGCTGCCACACTGGGGGTCCCGTTTCAACAAGAGTTTTGCTGGGAACAGATGCACTGACTACATCCAGGTCGTGGTAAGGGCTGTGCAAGTATTTGAGTCCCTGCTTTGATTTCTTTTGGGGATAGACCTAGGAATGGAATGGCGGCTTCGCAGGGTAATTTTGTGTTTACCTGTTTCTGGAAGGAGCACACTGAGCTGGCCAGAGCAGGCTTGTGTTTTCCTCTGTGCTCCTTCCTGCTTCCCAGGATGCAGATGAGATGGCAGGTGCCCCAGCAGCCCTCGCCAACCATAAGGCATGGATTCCTCACCTTCGGCTCGGGGAGCACAGAGACTGAGGGCCGTGGACTCGGGGTGAGATGGTGGCACCTCCATCACAGACCCACAGACTCTGTGTCCAGCCCTTCCGGAAAGGTGACAGAAATGAAAAGTCTGCCTTATGGAAGACAAGGTTATTCAGAATTTTCGGTTCTGTATGGTCTCCTTAGAAACATTAGCAGACTTTAAAAAATGAAAATAGCCCATGTTCATTGTGAAAAAGTGAGCCATGGCCTCCGGGGCACCGGAGCCACAGAGCCACCACGCTTTGCTTTTGTTTCTCACTCCCCTACTCTCCCCACATAGGCACCGACGCTTTCCCTGACAGCATCATCATCACCCAACTAGGGCAGCTGACCCGCGTCTTCCTCACGACGTGGAATGGTTTGAGTCAAGGGTTTTCATGGCCATGAGCCACGTGGAGGCTGTGCCTTTTGTTTCCTGTGAGAAATCTTCAACCAGCGCCACTCTCAGCCTCCCCTCTGCCAGCGCTTTTGTGGCTGCACCTGCATTCGTGGGCTGTGGCTGCGAAGCACAGGAATAATTGATGGCTCTGGGGCACTTTGCTGGGCTGCTTCCAGAAAAGTTGACCCCTCCCTGCAAACCAGCACTGCCCAGCATTCTTGTCCCGCCAAGCCTGACTGTGAGCTGTTGTGACGTTGCCACTTTGCTCGGAAAGGACCCCTTACCTTTTATTTCCCTTGCATTTCTTTCAATTCTACCATTGACCATTTCTCATACGTGTGGTCATCATTGTATTTCGCCCCCATTTTGTGAGGTTTAGTGTATTCTTAAAGTTTCCTGGGTTTTGATGAGAGCATATTCTGTCATTATATTTAACAGGTGTTTTCCCCAGCTTGGATGTGTTTGGCCATTAGCTTCTTTTCTGCTATTTTACACTAGTCTGTTATTCTTCACTACAAAAGGACTCTGCCGAGGGTCCCCATGCTCCCCATGCTTCGGGGTGTGAGGTAGCAGGGGAAGGCAGGTGTCCTTCCTTCTTTGAAGTGTGGGTTGGGGCAGGACAGCAGACCCTGGGGTCACTGCTGAGGAGGGGAAGGATGGGATTAGGACTGTTCTCTTCCTGGCCTCATGAGCTCCCCCAGCTCCTTCTGGTGGTTGGAGAAGAAACCTCCTGATTGTCACGGAGAGTGAGTTTGTCCGTGGAGCTTTTCCTGCACGGCTCACATAGAACGGGCTGTGAGGTCCCTCCACTGAGCAGCACGTGCCAGGCCGGGTGCCCACGACTGTTGGGAAAACCCAGGCCTGTATTCCAGGAAGCAAAGGTCTTTAGATGAAGGTTTTAAGAATGAAAATTAACCCACAGAATGGTGAGGTCAGTTGGAGCCTGGATTCCATGGGGTAAGACAGCCACAGCCAGGTGGGCATCCTGCTCCTTCCCTTTCCCCTGTCCCTGCCCACCGGCCATGCCCTAGAGTAGGGGCACACTCGGACCCCAGCTCAGCGCCCACGCATGCTGCCTGCAGGCCTGCGAGGTCCCACAACCCCTTGGCTTGCAGCGACAGCCCGGGGCCAGGTGTGGGTGAGGCTTGGGATTTCCTGGCACAGCTGACTTCATGTTGTGGCCTGGCAGCCTCGGGTGGTGTCGGCAGATGCAGGAAGCCACGGGCGCAGCTCCCTGCCTGTCCCGGCCGTGGGTGCTAATGCAGAGTGGGTTCTGTGGCTGGTCACACAGGCAGCCGGGTGGGTGCAGGTCATCCCGGGGATGGCCTTGCACTGTCTGATCCCCGGGGAGGGGAGGGTCTTTTCGCTGACCACGCTGTTTGCTGCGTGCTTTTTGTTTGCCAAGGGCTGCAATGTTTGTCGTCTGCCGCAGTGTTTGCTGCCGGGTGAAGAATCGCTGGCCCTGTGTTGTCACCTGGGCCCACCGTGACAAGGTCCCCACCTCTGTTGTGGGACTCGGGGGCAAAGTTCCCTGCTGTTCACGCTGCAAGTGACAAGGGCCTTGGTCTCTGAACCAGGAGCCTCTGAGTCCTGCCCCACAGCTGAGCCCTGGCTGGGAGCAATGTTCTTTGGGGGAGACAGCAGCTTCCTCACTTCCATGTACAGCCAGATGCCACGGGATGTGGGGAGTGCGACAGGGCCGTGGGGAGTGTGACAAGGCCTTGGGGAGTGTGACAGGGCTGTGGGGAGTGTGAGAGGGCCTTGGGGAGTTTGACAGGGCCGTGGGGAGTGTGACAGAGCCGTGGGGAGTGGGACAAGGCCGTGGGGAGTGGGACAGGGCCGTGGGGAATGGGACAGGGCCGTGGGGAGTGTGACAGGGCCGTGGGGAGTTTGACAGGGCCGTGGGGAGTGGGACAGGGCTGTGGGGAGTGCGACAGGTCTGTGGCGAGTGTGACAGGGCTGTGGGGAGTGCGACAGGGCTGTGCGGAGTTTTGAAAGGGCCATGGGGAGTTTTGACAGGGCTGTGCGGAGTGTGACAGGGCTGTGCGGAGTGTGACAGGGATGTGGGGAGTGCGACAGGGCTGTGGGGAGTGTTGCAGGGCTGTGGGGAGTGTGACAGGGCTGTGGGAAGTGCGACAGGTCTGTGGCGAGTGTGACAGAGCTGTGGGGAGTTTTGACACGTCTGTGGGGAGTGCAACAGGGCTGTGGGGAGTGTGACAGGGCTGTGGGGAGTGCGACAGGGCTGTGGGGAATGTGACGGGGCTGTGTGGGAGCAGGTGGTCCTGTGGGGCATCCCGGGGTCTGTGCTCAGGCTGTGGGAGGTGGGGCTGGCAGGGGATCCTGGAGAAACACCTTTGGGGGCTCAGGTTTGGTGGAGCTCCCACTTCCACAGTGGCTCTGAGTGGGGCCTGAGCAGGTTTTCCTGGCAGTGGCTGAGGGTGGGTGGGCCTGGTAGGTACTGGGCTGCTCAGAAGCCAGCCAGCTCCATGTTGCCCACCTCAGCCTCCCAGGCTTCTCAGGGCCCAGCTGTGCTCTGTCCCTGGGGCCCTTCCCTCCCCGGACACTGCTCACCCCTGGCAAGGGCTCTGCCCTGGGACACACCCTGCTAGACCCTCAGATCTGATCCCAGCCCTTCCCATGTGACTCCCTGGGTGCTCCCAGATGACTGGGATGTGGGGAAGGATCAAAGAGCACTTTGGTTGTCTCTGTAACTCTTCTAGTGATTAGATAAGGGCTGGATTTAAGGATTACTTCTGCAATGCAAATAGATGAAAGGAACAAGCTAAATAACAAACTCTTCCCATTCCCAGAACAAAGTCAGCTCTGGCCTGGTTCCACGTGCCCTGTCCAGCACGTCCCCCAAGCGCAGGCATGGGCCCCCGGACCAGCCGCGGACCCCTCCTCGCGCTTTGCAACGCCTCACAGCTGGCCCCGCACCCCTGGGGCAGGACCACTCCCTCTTCTTATTCTTCTCTGTGTCACCTTCCCAGACTCTGCACATAGTCGGCGCTACATAAATGGTGGCTGCAAAAAGGAGACGAGCAGCAGAGCAATGCCCCAGGGAACAAGAGGGGCGCTGTTGCCAAGGCCAGGGCCAGGGTATCTGCCCTGAGGCCTGAGCCCCACACGACCCAGGGCTCCAGAGCCCCATGGCCCATCTCACTGCTGGGGCTGAACCCCCAGGGCCCCTGCAGCCACTGCCTCAGGAGGTCAGGTTGGGGTGTGGAGTAGAAGGGACGGGTGTTTCCAGGGAATCCCTGTGTAGGTGGGATCCAGAGGGCTTGAAACCCTCAAGCTACCAGCCAGCTCCACGCCTAGGACAGGCCTTATAGAGTTCAGGATCTGCCAGCTCCCAGGGGCAGCCTCAATGTCCGGGGTGGATGGGGGTTTCTGTGGGTTCACTTCTGCCCCCAGCTGGGATGCTTGGAAGGAGAGCTCAGGGACAGTGTGGCCAGACCCTGACCCAGACAGAAGATTCTGTCTGAGAGACCGGGGGAGCAGCAGGGACCTTCACAGAGGGACAGAGGCCCAGGAAGCAGCGGCTGCTGCTGTAAGCCTACGGCGAGAGCCATGGTCACAGAAGACCCACTTGTTGCCAGGCGTTTTGCCTTCACAATGGCAAAGTCTCCCAGTGGCCCAGGAGAAAAGGGAATGCTCATTCCATTCTGCCTGCCAGAAAACAGAGGCTGAGGCCCAGAGGCTCAGGCAACCTCCCCAGGTTCACCTCATTTGGAAACAGCCCCTTCCCATCCCCGGTTGCTGCCGCAATCTTCTAAGGGGACTTCCTCAGAGGTCATTAAATGCATTGAAAACTGGTTCTGGTCCTCGACCCTAAGCTGCTGGAGGAGGGGGTGTGGGAGCAGATTCGGGGTGCACCTGTGTGTTCAGGTGAAGGCGGAGGGAAATTAGTCATGGAGCTAAGCTGAACCACCTGCTGGGCCCCAGGCAGGCAAGGCCCTGTGGGCAGGTGGGAAGCCAGAGGCCGCCTCTCACCCCGGGGAGGGGCAGGGGCTGGAGTGACGGTGCAGGGTGAGATTTTGGCCAGGCACAACTCCATCCATCCCTGCATCCCCAGGAAGCCACAGACACCCAGGTTCTGAGAGCCCGGCTCTTGAATGTCCCTCCTCCCCCGACCTCCTTCGGTGCCCCTGGCCATGCCAGCCCTGAGCATGAAGCCTTCAACTTTCCCACGCACCCGCTTCCACTCTCCAGGGCTGAGGAGCAGGAAGGAGATGGCTTGGAGGGGTGAGCCCCTGTCCTGTTCTCAGAGGGTCACAGCTACTCACTACCTGCTACGAAGACAGGGAAGGGTGGGAGCCGTTCTAAACCAGCATCAGTGCATGCCACAAAATAGAAGCCGTGCATTACAAACTAGAAACGAGGGCTTGGTTGCAGGCACCTTCCCTAGAGACCCTGGCTGAGCAGAGGCTGGGGTCTGGCTGCGCTGCTCTGACGGTGTGCACGGGCGGGCTAGGCACTCGCCCTGAGTCCCAGAAAGAGGAGCCCACAGATACAAAACTTAAAGGATGTGTTATTTTATTTTTTAATTTAATTTTTGTTTTTTCAAAAGCATCAAAGTCATTGTGATTGGAAGGAATGCGCAAGTTGGTCTGGGGTGCTGTCCCTGGGCGCCGAACCAGCCGGGGACATGGCCCCTGGAGAGCTGCCGACCCCGGGGCTAGGGGAGTGGTCTTGCGAGGAGCCTTTGCTTCCCACTCGCCGGCCGCCCCGCGGGGCCCTCCTGCCACCAGGTGGCGCTTCTCGGCCAGCCCGGGCCGCAGGATCTGCAGTCTCGTTTCCCCAGGAATGGCGACGGCCCTGTTACTCCCATCACAATTTTACAGGTCAGAAAAGGAGACTCGGAGTGCATATCTAGCAACTTGGAGAAAGTCGCAAGGGACGAAGGACCCTTCCCCGGACACAGGAACCTTCTGGGGGATGGGGACAGGGACTCAGGTGCAGAGAAAACCAGAGCTGCTACCGTGGGGACAGAAAGGGAGTCTACCCAGAGACAGCAGAGGCAGGAGCTGCCCCCCCTCTTTGCCCCCAGTGGCCCCGAGCGAGGGGTTGCCACCACCTAGAGCCTGGGGACCAGGGGCCAGTGCCTGGGGACGGAGGCCATGGTCGAGACAGGCGAGGGATGTGGCGGAGACAGGGAGGCCCAGGTCGGCTGGCACAGGGCAAGGAGCAGGCGAGCCGACCCCAGGGCCTTGCCCTTGTCACGCCCCCTGCCATGTTCCTGCTGGCCCCCTTCCTGTTCTGTGAGGTCAACACGCAGGAGAAAGGGGCAGAAGGGAAGGTCTCCCCACACCGAGGGCTCTGCCCGCTTGGGCCAGGGGTTGGGGGGTGGTCATGGCACCAGGGCTGCTCTGAGCTACAGCCCCGAGGGGGGGCCGGGCGATGCCTCCTCCTCCGTGCCAGCCTGTGCCGGGGCCCCTAGGAACCCCCAAGTCCCTGCCTGTGACCTCCGCAGAGCCCAGCAGGCGCCTCCCCGCCCTCGGCCACAGGCTCGGAGCTCACGGCCCCCAGGGGGCGCTCAAGGACTGCTCATCTGCGCTTCTGCCGCGGGCAGCTCTGACCCCTCCCGCTGCGCTCCTCCAGCCGCATCCCTGCAGCCTTGGGCCCTACTGGCCCGGGGGAGGAGGCACTGCGCTTTGGGGAGGAAGAGAGACTAAAGGGGAGACCGAGAACCCCGGGTCAGGAAGCGGAGAGCTAAAACGACAACCGTGGGTCAGCGGAGGCCGGCAACTTCATTTCATGACCTCTGGCCTCCAAAGCAGCTCTGCAAAGTGGTCAATGCTCCTCTCGTTGTGTAGATGAAGATACTGAGGGCCAGGGAGGCTGTGGACTGCCTGATGTCACACGACTGGTGGGGCGGCGGGCGGGTCTGTCCCCAGGCGATTGTCCTCGAGGCACACGGCGGGGCAGAGCTTGGAAGCGGCCGAGGTGGGGGTCCCTGGGTGTGGATGTAGTGACCCCGGAGCCACGTGGAGCCACCTTCAGACCCAGAGCTGAAGCAGGAGGGTGACCGGTAGAGCAAGGCCGTGCACACCCCCGTTGCAGAATTGAAAACGCGCCTCAAAATAAAACCCCGTGTTTCACAAGAATGCACTAATTCCCGAAGATATCCGGGCGCACGGGATGCAGTGGGGATTGGAGATGCAGGGGCCATGCAAGTGAGAAGGACCCTGCTCAGCGTGAGGCTCTGATGGTCTTGAATTCCTTTGCCATGCTCGGACAAGGGGCCTGCGCTGTCACGTTGCTTTGGACCCTGAAAATTCGGGAGCCCGTCCTGAGCCCACGCTGCCATAGTTGCCAGGTATCCAGCATATGCACAAAACACCTCCACGCCGGTGCTCTGCCCTGCCCTGCTCTGGAGACCCACATCCAAGGACAGGTCTCTCCTATGGCAGCCCTGCTCCCTGCCCTTCTTCCCCACCTGCTCAGTCCTGCAAAGCCTTCGGCCAAGACTGACACCTGGGGGTTCTGTCTCCCACACTCTAGGGGCCTCCTCCACATGTCGGTGACCTCTGACCACTGTTTCAGACCCACAGCTCCTGGGTGCACTCAGCATTGGGTCCCTATGGTATCAGAGTGTTCCAGGCCTGGGGCACTGCACTCACTGCAGACCTGGCCTGAGATTCAGCAGCTGGGCACCCTATGAGATCTAGTTTCTGAATGGCGTCGTCACCTGACTGGGCATACAAGCCACAGGCCCCGTGGTCTGTGGGCGGCCATTGTCCTGTGTGTGGGGTGGGGCACTGGGACCCTCCCACAGCTTTGGCTTTCTCAGAGTTTCTATCCCTGTGTCCTCCTCTGTCAGCAAAGCCCAAAGGTGGGGGGCTCCTGAGCTGCCACCTCCTTTGTTTCTCCAACTCTGCCGGTTCATTGGACTATGCCCTTGGTGCCTCACAGTGTGCTGACTGACAGCATCTCTAAGCCCTAAACCACTGAGCCTGGAGTCATCCAGCTCCAGGGAAATGACTCTGCAGGGTCACGATTCCTGGGTCTGCACTCAGGCCCCCTCTTTCCAACCAAGACAGCAGGATCCCAGGTATCCTGAGACCTGTCCTGATCCTGAATCCTGTCCTGATCCTGAGTCCTGTCTTGATCTTGGGTCCTGACCTGATCCTGCCCTGAGTCCTGTCCTGATCCTGGGTCCTACCCTGATCCTGTGTCCTGCCCTGATCCTGAGACCTGCCCTGATCCTGGGTCCTGTCCTGATCCTGATTCCTGCCCTGATCCTGTGGTCCTGCCCTGATACTGAGACCTGCCCTGATCCTGGGTTCTGCCCTGATCCTGAGTCCTGTCCTGATCCTGGGTCCTGTCCTGATCCTGAGACCTGCCCCGATCCTGAGTCCTGTCCTGATCCTGCCCTGATCCTGAGTCCTATTGTGATTCAAAGTGCTGTCTTGATCCTGCGTCCTGCCCTGATCCTGAGTCCTGTCCTGATCCTGCCCTGATCCTGGGTCCTGCCCTGATTCTGAGTCCTGTCCTGATCCTGGGTCCTGCCTGATCCTGAGACCTGCCCTAATGCTGAGTCCTGTTCTGATCCTGAGTCCTGTTTTGATCCTGAGTCCTGTCTTGATCCTGGTTCCTGCCCTGTTTCTGAGTCCTGTCCTGAGCCTGCCCTGATCCTGAGTCCTATTCTGATCCTGAGTATTTCCTGATCCTGGCTCTTATGAGATCCTGGGTTTCATCCTGTTCTACCCACGGGTGATAGCCCAGGATGGGGTCACCTGCTCTAGGGTGTCTCCATGCGTGGTCTCCCTGTGCCTTCTGTAAACTTCCCCTGAGACTTTCGGAGTCAAGTCAGCATCAGCATCAGCATAGAAGTGGGTTGAATAGGACCCCCTCATTCCTGTCCACCTGGAAACTCTGAATGTGATCTTATTTGGACACTGGGTCTTTGCAGATGTAATCAAGTTAAGATGAGGTTGTACTGGAGTAGGGTGGGCCCTGATCCAATGTCTGGTGTCCCTGTAAGAGAAAGGAGGGGAGGAGGTCAGACACAGACACTCAGTGGAGAAGCCCACTTGAGGATGGAGGCAGAGACGGGGGATGCAGCCACAAGCCAAGAATGTCTGGCCACCACCAGAAGCTGGAAGACGCAGAAAGGATCCTTCCCTGGAGCCTTCAGAGAGTGTGTGGCCCACGGAGAACTTGATCTTGAACTTCTGTCTGCCTGAACCGCGAGGCACCAATGTCCGCTTTAAGGCTCCCGTTGGGGGCCATTTGTTATGGCAGCCCCAGGAAATGAACACTGGTAGCAAAGATGAGCGCAGCATCAAAGCCAAGTCCCTGCTCCCGTTGCCCTTACTAACACAGAAGGACAGGGGCCTTGTCATTTTTCAGAGGACATGTGAGGGAAATCATGAACTAAAGAAAAAGTGCAAAACTATGTACACCACTGAGGTTATTTTAAGATTAAGCAAACAAACACAGTTTCCCTAAGGAAATGGCACAAACAGGAACCAGGAAATGACTGTGTGTCCAGCATCACACCTGATCCTGGGCAGGGATATAAAGGGCCCAGGCTCAGGGAGCTCCATACCTGCACACCTCCCTCTCACCTGCTCCTCTACCTGCTCCACCCTCAATCCACCAGAACCATGGGCTGCTGTGGCTGCTCTGGAGGCTGTGGCTCCGGCTGTGGGGGCTGTGGCTCTGGCTGTGGGGGCTGTGGGTCCAGCTGCTGTGTGCCCATCTGCTGCTGCAAGCCCGTGTGCTGCTGTGTGCCAGCCTGTTCCTGCACCAGCTGTGGCTCTTGTGGGGGCTCCAAGGGGTGCTGTGGCTCTTGTGGGGGCTCCAAAGGGGGCTGTGGCTCTTGTGGGGGCTCCAAGGGAGGCTGTGGCTCTTGTGGCTGCTCCCAGTGCAGTTGCTGCAAGCCCTGCTACTGTTCCTCAGGCTGTGGGTCATCCTGCTGCCAGTCCAGCTGCTGCAAGCCCTGCTGTTCCCAGGCCAGCTGCTGTGTCCCCATTTGCTGCCAGTGCAAAATCTGAGGCTCTGACTTTGGACCTCAGGTGAGTCCAGCATATCCACACCACCCAAGAAGTGACCAGTGCTGCATTTCAGTTCTGGCTGTCCCACAGCTCCAGGAGTTGTGTCCCCTGAATTTTGCAGAAGGTGATGACTCCAGGTTCTTGGCCTTTCCTGACTCCCTTTCTGGTCATTCTTCATGAGAACTCTCTTCCTCTCTCCTGGTGCCCAACACCTTCCCAGTTCCCAGAGCCCTGCAATCTCCTCCAACAAGCTCCCTGCCAGGTCCTGCTGCGACAGGGCCCTCCCTGTCCATCAGTCCTCCTGTCCTCCTTCTCTAGAGCAGCTGCAGGTCGGGGAGGCAGTGGAGATCTGCCCCCATCCCCAAAGGCTCCAAACCTTCCTCCCCAGGAGACGGCCACTCTCGCGGCTTCTCTCTCAGTTAAGGTTCAGCAGGACCTGAGACCCTTTAAATAAACACATTTCCCACCCATGAGGCTTGCTCTCACTGTGGCTTTAAAACAAACAAACAAACAAACAAAAAAAACTTTTATTTGAGGTTCAGGGAGCATGTGCAGATTTGTTACACAGGTAAACTCGTGTCATGGGGGTTTGTTGTACAAATTATTTCATCACTAAACCAAGTACCCATTAGTTATTTTTCCTGATCCTCTCCCTCCTCCCACCGTCCACCCTCCGATAGGCCCCAGTGTGTTGCTCCCCTCTGTGTGTCCATGTGCTCTCCTCATTCCACCCCCACTTGTAAGTGAGAATATCCAGTATTTGGTTTTCTGTTCCTGAGTTAGTTTGCTAAGGATAATAGCCTCCAGCTCCATCCATGTTCCTGCCAATAACACGATCTCATTCTTTGTTATGGCTGCATAGTATTCCATGGTGTATATGTGCCACATTTTCTTTATCCAGTCTACAATTGATGGGCATTTTGGTTGATTCCTTGTTTTTACTGTTGTGAATTGGGCTGTAATAAACGTGTGCATGTGTGTTTATGATAGAATGATTTATGAGTCCAGCAGCACATCAAAAAGCTTATCCACCACGATCAAGTAGGCCTTACCCCTATGATGCAAGGTTGGTTCAACCTACACAAATGAATAAATGTGATTCATTACATAAACGGAACTAAAGACAAAAGCCACATGATCATCTCAATACAGGCAGAAAAGGCTTTTGTTAAAATTCAACATCCCTTCATTTTATTTTTTATTTTTTTGAGATGGAGTCTCGCTCTGTTGCCCAGGCTGGAGTGCAGTGGTGTGATCTTGGCTCACTGCAAACTCCATCTCCCAGGTTCAAGTGATTCTCCTGCCTCAGCCTCCCGAGTAGCTGGGATTACAGGTTTCTGCCACCATGCCCGGCTAATTTTTGTATTTTTAGTACAGACGGGGTTTCTTTTTTTTTTTTTTTTGAGACGGAGTCTCACTCTGTCGCCCAGGCTGGAGTACAGTGGTGCAATCTCGGCTCACTGCAAGCTCCACCTCCCGGGTTCACACCATTCTCCTGCCTCAGCCTCCTGAGTAGCTGGGACTACAGGCACCTGCCACCACGCCCGGCTAATTTTTTTTTATATTTTTAATAGAGACGGGGTTTCACCATGTTAGCCAGGATGGTCTCGATCTCCTGACCTTGTGATCCACCCGTCTCTGCCTCCCAAAGTGCTGGGATTACAGGCATAAGCCACCGCGCCCAGCAGAGACGGGGTTTCACCATGTTGGCCAGGCTGGTCTCAAACTCCTGACCTCAAGTGATCCGCCCGCCTTGCTCTCCCAAAGTGCTGGGAGTATAGGCGTGAGCCGCTGTGCCTGGCTGACATCCCTTCATGCCAGAAACTCTGAATAAACTAGGTCCTGAAGGAACACACCTCAAAATAACAAGCACCGCCTACCACTGCATCTCTTTCCCTGCAGCTCTTGCCTGAGTGAATCTGCCTGCAGGGTCAGCCCATTCCCGGCCCGTCACTGAATGTGTGTTTACTGAGCTCCTCCTGCATCCCACGTGCTCACAGCTGACAGGGAATCAGAACCCTCCCCTGCAGCTCAGGTCCTGGGTGGAGACAGCCTATCCAGTCCTCCAGGGACCACAAGGTGGGTGTCCTTTTTCTTGACTCCCATAGCAGCTGTGACTGAGATGCAGAGCTGGCACACACCTGGGCATGGCCCCACACGCAGGTGGCATGGGTGCAGTTCTAACCTCTCAGTCCGACTGCAAATGCTGCTCATAACCACAACAGAACATTTGGCCAGAGACTGCTCTCCTCTCGGGAGCCACACTCAGGGACATCACCAGGAAGATACCTCCTATCCCAGGCCCCGTCTCACCATGGCTCTGACAGCAAATGTGGGGGCAGAGGTAGTGCAGGGCAGGCCCTGGGGAGGACCTTGGCCAGTCAGTGGCGCCTTTTCCTGAGGCCCCAGTATGGCTGCCTTGCCAGTCCTTCCTGACTGTCTCTGCCCTCAGCCCCTGAGCCCCAGGCCATCAGTGACTTGGTGGCCCTGGGGAGCAGCCTCTCATCTTTCTGCCTGGCCATCCTTGGCCAGGAGGTCTCCCTGCTGACCACTCCATTCGGGTCTAATTTGGTGCTTCCAGTGTGTCCATGGATGCATTATGATTCAAAAATAATCATCGCACTCATACTCACGGAGTCTGTATCATGTTGCCAGGCTCTGAGTTCAATGCTTTGCATCCTCTATCCCGGTTACGGAAGTGAAAACCACAGAGCCAGAATCTCAGCCCATGTCACTTGGTCCCCAAGGCCTGATGCTACCCTGATTTTCTTGGATGCCGGCTGCCTCACCCAAAAAGTGTGGATTATGTTAGAGTGAAAGTTCCCCAGGAATAAAACCACCCAAAAAAGACCAGAAAGGGTAGAAGAGACATCGATATCATGGCATCCAGATCCAGGAAAATGACAACCAGAGAGCCCAGCCTTTAATGTGAGCTCCCTAGCAGTCAGAGCAAAAAGGGAAAGAGGGGACACATAGGCTTCATCACCTGGAGGAGGGAGCAGCACAGTTTACAGCAGAAATACGCTCTGTCACGTTTCAGAGTGAAGAGTCAGTTGGGGTGACAGCTGTGGAATAGAGGTGCCCCTCAGGGAAGAGGGTCCCTCGCTGCTGTTGCCACATTGTATTAAAATAAAACTATAAAAAAGTGGACAAGGTATCCATGTAGAACTCAATAAGTTTCCACAAAAGCTGAACACCTTCCTAGAACTGGCCCTCAGAACAAGAAATAGAACATTCCGGCACCCCAGAAGCACCCATTTCTAATTGCTACCCACTCCCCACCAAGAGTAACCATGAGCTTGAATTATCCCATCAGACACCAGTTTTGTCTGTTACTGGACTTCATAAAACGCCATCGTAGGCCGTGTCCTCTCATGGCCAGCTCCTTTGGCCCCAGACTATGTTGGCGAGGTTCATCCACTGTGTTGCATGGAATTTGCCCCGTTCGCGGCTGTTGCTGGGTCCTGAATTGTAAGAGTGCAGCGCAGCATGCACACGCACTCAGAGGATTTGGTTTTAAGAGCTGCGTGGGAGGGTGCAATGCAGAAGACAAGTCTTTGTTCTGCACAGTGGGTGGTTGGAGCTCAGAGCTGCTGCCCAAAGCAGAGATCCCGGAAGGGACTGTGCCCTCTGATGGGGGTGGCTAGAAGGCAACCCAGCCGCTGCCAGAAGGAAGGGACTGTGCCCTCTCATGGGGGCAGCTAGAAGGCAACCCAGCCACTGCCAGAAGGAGACAGCAGAGAAATACGTTTGCTGAGTCTGAGATGGGTGATAAAAACATTTCCTTTGAGAAGTGACAACTTCAGGCCCACCATTATCCAGGTGGGAGGCACACATTGGCATCAGTTTTGTGGTCCAGAAAACCACAAGCTGAGCAAGTCACTTAAAGTGGTCCTGAATTGATAGGACCCAGAGCAGCCCGGTGGAAGGAAGTGCAGCAAAACTTCAGACAAAGTCTGTGTCCTCAGCCAAGGCCCTGAGCTCCCCACCTACAGCCGAGGCAAACATGAGCTCACAGCAGAAAACCACAAGCACACAAGGAAAGCAGCCACCGTGGGCAAGAGCCAGCACCCGCAGTCAGAGACACATGGAGACACCAAGGGCCATGAATGAGGACATGAGGAGATAAAATACCAGCTAAATATTTAAAACAATGGGCTCACCCACTGTCTTGGGACCACGAAGGCTCTTCTGAGAGAGAAAGTTTCCTATCCTCAGAGTTTTAGGTGAACATATGGGTAAATCTAATGGGTTATTCTCTTCAAAATGTGTTTGATGTTGTAAACAAAAATCACACCATTCTCTGGTGGGGTTTTCAAAATGAGTATTTGTCATTTATGAGACAAGTGGTCTCTATTGCGGGAAGATTCCTGGATTCCACCTAAATTAGTGAAATATCGATTCTAAGTACACAGTGCAAAAGTAAGCAATATACCCGTACTCTAGAACAACCATTAAAAAGATATAAACAAAGAATATAGTCAAGCTGGTTCTTTGAAAAGATCAACATATTTTTTAAATTTTAGCAAGACTGGCAAGATGAAAAAGAAAGAAGATGCAAATTACCAATATCAGGAATGAGAAAAGGGATATCACTTCGGGTCCCACGGACATTAAAAGGATAATGCAGGAATACTGCACGCCGCATACATTTGGAAACTAAGAGGAAAGGGACCAATTGCTCGAAAGACATGAACCACCAAACTCAAGAAGGAAGAGGGAGCCTGAATATCTCTATCAAGAAACAGAATTTGTAGTTAAAAGCCTTCCCACACAAAAAAACCCTTCAAGGCCAGATGGTTTCATTGGTTAATTCTACATAACCTTCAAGGAACAAATAATCTGAAAGCAAGCAGGAAAAAATATATAAATTTATGGATAAGTGTGTATGTATGCATATAAAATTAGAAATCAATGCAATAGAAAATAGCAAAACAACGGAGAAAATTTATTCAACCAGCCAGGCGTGGTGATTCACGCCTATAATCCCAGCACTTCGGGAGGCCGAGGTGGGTGGATCACTTGAGGTCAGGTGTTCGAGACCAGCCTGGCCAACACGGCAAAACCCCATCTCCACTAAAAGTACAAAAATTAGCCTGACGTGGTGGCCCATGATTGTAATGTAAGCTACTTGGGAGGCTGAGGCAGGAGAATAGCTGAACCCAGGAGGCAGAGGTTGCAGAGAACTGAGCTGAGATCGTGCCACCACACTCCAGCCCGGGCAACAGAGTGAAATTCCATCTCAAAAAAATAAAAAAAATAAAACAAGAAAATTAATTAAACCAAAATCTGGTTCTTTGAAAAGATCAATAAAGATCAATAAATAAAGATCAAAAAAGATAAGCCTGTAGCAAGACAGACAAGAAAAAAGAGCAGACACACATGACCGAGGTGTGTGTGGGATATCACCATGTTGGCCAGGCTGGTCTCAAACTCCTGACCTCAGGTGATCCACCTGCCTTGGCCTCCCAAAGTGCTGGGATTACAGGAGTGAGCGTGCCCGGCCCAAAACTGTTCTATATGATACTGTGATGGTGAATAAATGGCATTCCACGTTCATCATTTGTGTTGTAGAACGTACAACATGAAGAGTGGAGGTGAAGGTTAGGTCTGGACTTTGGGTGCTCACCACGTGTCAATGTTGGCTCATCAATGATGACAAATGGGCCACCCTAGTGTAGGATGCTAACAGCAGGGGACGTTATGTAGGTGTGGCAGCAGGTGAAATACGGTAATTTTCTATACATTCAACTCAATTTTGCTGTGAACCTAAAACTGCCCTAAAACATAGTGTGTTTTCTGAAATACGTCCAAAAATAAAAAGTTATAAATCTAACAAAATATGTACAGAATGCACATGTTATAAATACAAAACACTGATGAAAGGAATCAAAAAATACCTAAATAAGTGGAGAGAGTCGTGCATTCATAGATTTGAAGACACAAAATAATAAAGACGTCAACTTCCCCAAAACTGATGTGCAGATTTAATTGGATTCCAACAACAATCTTAGCAGGATTTTTTGGTAGATATTCATAAGCTGTTTATGAAATTTATGAGGAAAGGCAAAAGAAAATAGAATAACCTCAAGGATCTAGAACTAGAAATACCATTTCACCCAGCCATCCCATTACTGGGTATATACCCAAAGGATTATAAATCATGCTGCTATAAAGACACATGCACACGTATGTTTATTGCAGCACTATTCACAATAGCAAAGACTTGGAGCCAACCCAAATATCCATCAATGATAGACTGGATTAAGAAAATGTGGCACATATACACCATGGAATACTATGCAGCTATAAAAAATGATGAGTTCATGTCCTTTGTAGGGACATGGATGAAACTGAAAACCATCATTCTCAGCAAACTATCGCAAGGACAGAAAACCAAACACCACATGTTCTCACTCATAGGTGGGAACTGAACAATGAGAACACTTGGACACAGGAAGGGGAACATCACACACTGGGGCCTGTCGTGGGGTGGGGGGAGGGGGGAGGGAGAGCATTAGGAGATATACCTAATGTAAATGACGAGTTAACGGGTACAGCACACCAACATGGCACATGTATACATATGTAACAAACCTGCACGTTGTGCACATGTACCCTAGAACTTAAAGTGTAATAAGAAAACATTTAAAAAAGAAAAGAAAATAGAATAGCCAAAACAATTTTGAAACAAGAAATATAGTTGGAAGAATGACATTAGCTGACTTTGAGACATTCCATAAAGCGACAGCAATGTAGACAGTGTGGTATGGGCAGAGGGGTAGACACACAGATCAAGGGAAAAGCACGGAGTTGAGATGTCACTCGCACACACAAGACTGCGCTAATTTATGACAAAGGGGCAAGACAACTAAATGGAGAAGTGTCTGCTGCAATCACAAAATACCTGTGACTGGGTATTTTACAAACAATAGAAGTACATTTCTCACAGTTTTGGAGGCTAGACGTCCCCAGATCAAGGTGCCAGTATTCTGCATCTGGTGGAGGCTCTTTGCTGTGTCCTTTTGGTGGAAAACATAAGGGGCAAAAAGGACCCAAGCTCATCCCCCCCAGCCCTTTAATGAGGCACTAATCTATGCCTGAGAGCAAAGCCCTGACTTGATCACTTCTCAAGAGACCCCACCTCTTAGTAACACCATAACAGGGGTTAAGTTACAGCGCATGAATTTTGGGGAACGCATTCATACCAGCGCGCGAAAGGAGAACCGTTTCCAAAAAATGGCATTGGAACAATTGAACCGCCGTAGACAAAACGAAAACAAAACCTCAACCTCAACCTCATACTTTATATAAAATTAACTCTATGCCCATCATAGACCTAAATGTTGAATATAAAACAATAAAACATTTGGAATAAAACAGGAGAAAGTCTTAGTGACCTTGAATAATAAAAACACACTGTGTAAGAAATAATAATGTGAGTGAAATTCAGTGTCCTTTAAAGATAAAAGGTCACGTCATAAGGAGAGAGACACACTTGGCAGTGCTCCTGGTTGCTGGTGGAGGACCAAGTGAGTCCTTATTTAGAAGGGACATTTTTTTTTTCTGTGCCATTTTCTTCATCGAACATTTAGTCCTTTGAAAGCTTGTGATTATCTTATGTTCAAATGCTATGAAATAATAAAGTCACAGGGCAGTCCCACTGCAGCGTGACAATGAGGGGGAACTCCAGAGATCCACTTCCATGTGAAACTGGTGAAGACTTTAAAAACAAAAACAAACGAAACCCCACCCCCAACAACCATTTAAAGCATCTGCAAATGGCCCTGTAGCCATTTCAAATAGAGAAACATTTATTCAAGAAAATCGACTAAAGCTTAGTGAGAACTGTGTGAGTCTGTGGTATCTGAGCCAATGCGTGTGCCCTCTCCCAGCCCAGTGAGACAGAAGCTCCACTCCAGGCTGTACAGCCAGGAATGCAAGACTATCTCTCCTCCAGTTTCTGTAATTGCCCGACAGGCTCTTCCCGCCCGCTGCACAGACAAAACCAGTTCACTCTGAGAACATGGTATTGCAGTAAATGAAATGTTTAATTAACGCAAGGCCTGCCAGGTGGAAGAACTGGAATGATCACTCAAACCCGTCTCCCTGAAGGCTTGAAGGTTAGGGTTTTTCCAGGACAGTGTGGTGGGTGGGGGGCTGGGGAATGGGTGCTCCTCATTGGTTGCGGGGGCAATCACAGGGGTGTGGAAAATGGTCCTTGTGCCCTGAATCTGCCTCTGGGTGGATAACAACCCCAAAGTGAAAGCAACCCAGACATCCTTCAACGGGTGAACGGTTAAACAAGTCGTGAGTCACGAGTCTGCATGGGGTCAGTTGGAAAACCACCTCAAAAGACCAATCTTAATTCTACCACAGTGATATTATCTATAGGAGCAACTGGGGAAGCCACAAATCTTGTGATCTCTGGACAAATGACTCCTAAGCAGAGGGGGATTATAGAAACTATGCCTATATTTTAGCAGAACTCATGCCCTCCTGTAATTCTAATCTTGTGGTCTTTCATTAGTCCTATAAAGGCAGTTTCAGCTCCCCAAAAAGGAGGGGATTTGTTTTAGGGCGGGACCGTTATCATCCTTGCTTACAAGTTAAACTATAAACTAAATTCCTCCCATGGATATAATAGAGGCAGGAGGCAGACAAATCCCAGGCAGATGGGGGTGGGTCCCCAGTGAAACCTCACCTTCAAGCCAAAACATCCTGAAACCTGCAGCCCAGAGTGAAAACTTCTATTCTTGTTTGCCTGCTCGCTCCGGATTGGTTCATTTTGAATAATGCCTTTTTAACCAATCAAATACTGCCTTTTCCAATACTACCTATGGCCTGGCCTGCCCCCGTCCTGGGCCTATAAAGACTCCAGACTCAGTTGGTAGAGAGAGAGAGAAGGCCTGACTTCAAGGAAGAGATCTCCTGACTTTGGGGAAGACGACCTGCCCTCCCTGTCCCCTTTCCAGTTCCCCTCTCTGCTGAGAGCTGTTTTCATTGCTCAGTAAAAGTCTCCACTTTCACCATCCTTCAATCACCAGCATGACCTCATTCTTCTTGGACGCTGGACAAGAGCTCAGGACCCACAGAGTGCAGGTACCTAGAAAGGATGTCACCCGGGCCCTTTGCCCTCGCCAGCAGAGGGCAGCTGCCCCACGCGATGAGGCCAGGGGCCGACCGAGCTGCTAACACATTGCCCTCCATTGGGATGTGGATGGTGGAACTATAAGAGCTGATTAGAGCACTAACACCCCCTCTGGGGCTTCGGGGTTGCGGGCACCCTTGTCTGGGCACTGCCATGTTCTCCTCGAGGTGACACACCTGGTCTGGCTGTGGGCCCCACGTGGAGTTTGCTCCCGTGTCAGCGTTCAGAGTGGCTGGCCAGATCCCACACTTGCTCGCTCATGCACTCCCTCCCGCAAGGGGCTGAGCATGCTGGGCCAAGTAGATGAGGAGCCTCTGCTGTGAGTCCAGCAAAGAGGCTGAGAAAAAATCCTGCATCAGTTAGCTTGGCCTGAGTCCAGGAATAAGCAAGGACAACCAGCCTATGAGCCAGAAGCAAGATGGAGTCAGCCATGCTAGACCTCTCTCGCTGTCAAAAGGTAGTTTCACTTCCAGTTGGTGAGGCTCTCTTCCTGTGAGGGTCAGTGTGCTAGCATCCTGCCCCCAGCTACCTGTGTCTCAGGCTGAATTCTGAGTGAGTGTGTCCGAGAGGTGAGGGTCCCTTCCTCTACTCAGCCTCAGGTCTCACTCATGCAGCAAAGGCTGCCCTGGGTTCATCATGCTGAGAATCCTGGGTCTCGGGTCTCTGGTCACCTTTGCTCCAGCTTATGGGAGGGGTTCATGCTGAGAGAGGCAAGCTGAGGACACCTGGAGCTGCTGCCCATCACTCAAGTGTCCAGCTTCTAAAGTAGGCATGACACCAGTGAGCCAAGATCCCTGCCGTCAGTTCCAGAGCTGTGGCTTAGAGATTTTGTCCAGGGAGAATGGCAGGATGTAGAACAGAGGATCTCCTAGTCTCTCCCAAAAGGAACTGACTTCATTTGCAACAGAGTATGAAGTTCAAACCTAAGGGTGCTCTCAGAGTCAGTGGCGGTTGTGGTGAAGGGCAACTGGGAGAAGATTGATAGATTCTTTAGAGACGTAGCCTAACTCTAAGATGGCTAGTTTTCTGGAGAGAAATGGAGAAAGAGAGAGCTGGGAAGAGACTTTCTGGGTTAGTAAGAAATCTCAAGCACTGGCCTTTCCTTTCAAAGGAGTCAGAATTTGATTGGATTAGTCTGTGAAGCAATTTATTCCCTAGGGTGATGTCAAAAACAATCGAGCAACCAGCTTGCAATGACGAATTTAGCAGCTGGGTTTGGTCAGGGAAAGAGACGAAGAGAGCCTTCCCACACCCCCATCATATCAAGGTGGACCTGCCCACTACTTCTCAGGGGAAACAGACTTTACTGCAGTATTCCAGTCATTGCAGCTTTCACCTAAAAGCTTTCACACAATTGCTTTGGGCTATTCATAATAGCCCCACACTGAAAATCCAGGCGTCCTTCAATGGGCGAACAGTTAAATAAGTTGGGGCTCGTTCAGCTTATGGAATATGTTTAGCAAGAAAAAGGAATGAACTATTGATACATACCACAGCCTGCTAATCTCCAGAGAATCATGCTGAATGAAAAATAAAAAGCCAATTCAAAAGGTTACATGCTGTTTTATTTCAGTTACATAACATCCTTGAAATGAAAACTTTATAGAAATGGATAACCAATTAGTGTCTCCTAGGGTTTATCGCCCAGGGTTCCGGCAGTGATGAATGTGGTCTGTGTTTTGAAAATATCGATGCCAATATTCTGATTGTGATATTGTTCCGTAGTTTTGCAAGGAGTTACCATTGAGGGAACTGGATAAAGGGTTCATGATATTCTATTATTTCTTACAACTGCATGCAAACCTAAAATAATCTCAAAATAAAAAGATTAATATATTAAAAAAAGAATTAGGATACTTCTGCTTTGGGTCAAGATAGAGCAACAGAGAATAAATATACAATTGTAAATGTAAAACAACAACAACAAAACCAAGACAAACACATTATTCTCAAGAGGTAGACAACAGACAAGAAAGGACTGGGAGGTGAGCCCTGGGACGTGAGCCCTTCAGTGGCCCCAGGTTTCAGCCCTCAGAGTGTTTCCAGGTCATGGCGCAGGGAGAGGAGACCCCGGGGAAGCTCAGTGTATTCCTTGAGTTGAGCATTTGTGAAGACCAAGGCAGCCCGAGGTCACAGGGCAGAGCATCGGAGAGTGGAGCGCTGCACAGGGAGCTGGGAGACATGCGGAGGGTCCCCTCTTCAGTCCTCAGCAGGGCACTGAATGGCACATGCGTGGGAGAGAACTACTTGAAGCCAGGGAAAGAACCAGCAGAGAGGACCAAAGGGAACTGTGCCAGGCGCGCACACAGGGCTGGGGACAGTGACTGACCCCAGCAGAAAGGCTGGAAAATTCCACAATTCATGGAGCATGTGGGTGGAATATTGAGAAGGGTCTCAACAGTGGAGAATAAATAACCTTCTACTAAGAATCTTCCCTCCATAATTGCTAGAAAAAGCAGATGGAAACTAAATAAGAACACAGGGCCGGGTGCGGTGGCTCACTCCTGTAATCCCAGCACATTGGGAGGCCGAGGCGGGCGGATCACGAGGTCAGGAGATCGAGACCATCCTGGCTAACACGGTGAAACCCCGTCTCTACTAAAAATACAAAAAATTAGCCAGGCGTGGTGGCGGGTGCCTGTAATCCCAGCACATTGGGAGGCCGAGGCAGGCAGATCATGAGGTCAGGAGATCGAGACCATCCTGGCTAACACGGTGAAACCCCGTCTCCACTAAAAATACAAAAAATTAGCCGAGCGTGGTGGCGGGCGCCTGTAGTCCCAGCTACTCGGGAGGCTGAGGCAGGAGAATGGTGTGAACCCGGGAGGCAGAGCTTGCAGTGAGCCGAGATCGCGCCACTGAGTTCCAGCCTGGGCGACAGAGCGAGACTCCGTCTCAAAAAAAAAAAAAAAAAAAAAAAAGAACACAGAAGGCTTGAACAACGCTTTAAACCAGCAGGATGTAGTCAGCGTTTAGAGGTCACTCCACCCAATAACAGCAGAATACACACTCTCTTCAAGTGCACAGGGAACATTTACCAACATAGACCATATTCTGGGCCAGAAAAAAAGTCTCAACAGATTTTAAGAGGTCCAAGTCCCACAGAGTATATTATCTGACCCTATGGAATTCAATCCCACATATTTGGAAACTAAATAGCATACTGCTAAGTAATCCACGGGCCAAAGAATAATTAAAAGAGAAACCCAAAATTATTTCAAACTAAAAGAAAATCAAAGCTACATCTAAATTTGTGTTTTCACAAATTTATAGCATTAAATGTCCATGTTAGAAAAGAAGTTTTCCAGGTTGGACATGGTAGCTCATGCCTATAATTCCAGCATTTGGGAGGCTGAGGAGAGAGGATTGCTTGAGCTCAGGAGTTCGAGACCAGTCTGGGAAATATAGTGAGCCCTTGTCTGTACTAAAAATCAAAAATATTAGCTGGGTGCAGTGGTGCATGCCTGTAGTCCCAGCTACTCAGGAGGCTGAAGGTGGGAGGGTCACTGGAGCCTAGGTTGTTGAGGCTATAGTGAGCCGTGATTGTGCCACTGTACTACAGCCTGGGTCACAGAGCAAGACCGCATCTGGAAAAAAAAAAAAAGAAAAGAACAGCAACAAAAATAAGTTTTCCAATTCATGACCTCAGTTTTCACCTTAAGTAATGAGAGAAAGGAGCAAATAATTAAAAAAAAAGAAAAAAAGTACATTTAAAGGATCAGAGTGAACAATCAATGAAACACAGAACAAAAATAGAGAAAATCAGTGACGCCAAATCTCATTCTTTGAGATCAATAAAACTGATAAATTCTTAGCTAGACTCATCAAGGGGAAAAAGGGAGAGAAAAGACACAAATTACTAACATCAGGAATGACAACAGCATAATCATCGTAGGTTCTACTAAGTGTTAAAAGAATTGAGAAGGAATAATATGAGCAATTTAATGTTGATGCATTTAACAGCTTAGATTAAATGGACAAAATTTATGAAAGGCACAAACTTTCAAAGCTTACTCAAGAAGAAAAAGATAACCAGAGTAGCCCTGTATTTATTTAATACGTAAAATTTGGCTTTAAAAAACAAAAACAAAAGCAAAAACAAAACTTCCCACAAAGAAACCTCCTGGCCCAGGCAGCTTTACAGGCAAATTCTACCAAACATGCAAAGAAGACTTAACACCAAATCCACACTCATGTTTGCAGGAAATTGAAGAGGAAAGAACATTCCCAACTCATTCTAAAATATGCACAGAAATGAAAAAAAAAAGTCACATCTGAAAAAGGAAAAGTCTACCCTACTTGATTTTAAAAAATGTAAACCTGCCTGGGCACGGTGGCTTACGCCTGTGATCCCAACACTGTGGGAGACTGAGGTGGGCAGACTGCTTGAGGCCAGGAGTTCAAGACCAGCCTGGCCAACACAGTGAAATCTCGCCTCTACCAAAAATACAAAAATTTGTCCAGGCGCCACGGCTCACGCCTGTAAGCCCAGCACTTTGGGATCTTGGACTTCTGACCGCTAGAACTGCGAGAAATTGAATTTCTATTGTTTAGGTCACGCAATCTGTGGCACTCTGTTCTGTCAGCCCCTTGTTGACTGAGGCAGCCATATCTCAAGATATTTTGTTTGTTAAACTTGTGGGGAGGGTGCTGCTGGCATTGGATGGGCAGCGGCCAGGGATGCCGCTGAATACTTTATGATGCACAGGACGGCTCCACACCAAAGAATGGTCTGGCCCCAAATGCTGATAATGTCAAGATTGAGGAACCATGAGATAAATAAATAAACCAGTGAAACAGGATAGAGAGTTTGGAAACAGAGCCGCACATAAATGGACAACTCCTGGTCTCTGTAACAAACGCTGCTGGAATAACTGCGTATCTGTGTGCAAAAAGTGAACTTCAAGGTACACATCATGCCACAGAACACTACCTCCAAACAAATCATAGGTTTACATTCAAATTTAGGAGAAAGTCTTTGTGGCCTCGTATTGGGCAAACATGTCTTAGACATGAGGCCAAAAGCACACTTCATAAAATACAAAAAGTGATGAGTTGAACTTCATCACAATTAAGAAATTCTGTGTTTGGAGAGGCACTGTTAGGAGAGTGAAAATGCAAGCCACAGATGGAGAGAAAACATTTGAAAACATATTATCTGATAAAAGACATGTATCAGTCTTTAAGGAATTCTTGAAGTCTGGCTGGGCAAAATGGCTCACGCCTGTAATCCCAGCAGTTTGAGAGGCTGAGGCAGGAAGAGCAATTGAACCCAGGTGTTCGAGACCAGCCTGGGCAACATAGCAAGACCCCGACTCATTTTGTTTTAAAAAAATAAAGCTAAAAAAAGACTTCTTAAAAATCATGACTGGGCAAGTGGCTCATGCCTGTAATCCTAGCATTTGGGGAGGTCTAGGCGGGTGGATCACTTGAGGTCAGGAGTTTGAGACCAGCCTGGCCAACATGGTGAAAACCTATCTGTACCAAAAAATACAAAAATTAGCTGGGTGCGGTGGTGCACGCCTATATTCCCAGCTACTTGAGAGGCTGAGGTGGGTGAATCACTTGAACCTGGGAGGCGGAGGTTGCAGTGAGCCAAGATCGCACCACCACACTCCAGCCTGGGCGACAGAGCAAGACCCTGTCTCAAAAAAAAAAAAAAAAAAAAAAAAAAAAAAACAATAAGAAGAAAACAACTAAGTATGGAAAATGGGCAAAATATTTATTATTTATTTTGTTATTTATTTTATTAATTTTTATTTCAATAGCTTTTGGGGTACAAGTGATTTTTTTGTTACATCGATGAATTCTATGGTGGTGAATTCTGAGATTTTGGTGCACGTGTCACCTGAGTAGTGTACATCGTACCTAAAAGTGTCATTTTAAAAATCTCCAGCCCCCTCTCGCCGCCCCTCTTCTGAGTCTCTGAAGTCCGTTACATCACTCTGTATGCCTCTGTATACTCACAGCTTAGCTCTCACTTAAAAGTGAGAACATACGGTTTTTTATTTTCCACTCCTGTGTTACTTCACTTAGAATAATGGCCTCCAGCTCCATCTAAGTTGATGCAAAAGGCATTATTTTGCTCCGTTTTTATGGCTGAGCAGTATTCCATGGTGTATCTGTGCCGCATTTTCTTTAGCCACTCGTTAGTCGATGGGCACTTAGGTTGGTTCCAGATCTTTGCAATTGTGAACTGTGCTGGAATAAACATACCCGTGCAAGGGTCTTTTTCATAGAATGACTTCTTTTCCTTTGGGTAGATACCCAGGAGTGGGATTGCTGGATCGAATGGTAGGTCTACTTTTAGCTCTGTAAGGAATCTCCACACTGTTTTCCATAGAGGTTACACTGATTTACATTAAAAATGGGCAAAAGGGGCCGGGAGCATGGCCCACACCTGCAGTCCCAGTACTTTGGAAGGCTGAGGCAGGTGGATCACTTGAGGTCAGGAGTTTGAGACCAGCCTGACCAACACGGTGAAACCCCATCTCTGCTAAAAAAAAAAAAAAAAAATACAAAAATTAGCTGGGCGTGGTGGCACACGCCTGTAATCCCAGCTATTCAGGAGGCTGCGGCAAGAGAATTGCTTGAACCTGGGAGGCGGAGGTTGCAGTGAGCTGAGATCATGCCATTGCAGTCCAGCCTGGGCAACAGAGCAAGATTCCATCTGAAAAAAAAAAAGAAAGGGCAAAAGATTTAAACAGACACTTCATATATATATATATATATATATATATATATATATAGCAAATAAGTGCATGAAAATGTGCTCCGCATAATTAGTAATTAGGAAAATGTAAATTAAAACCCACGAAGTAACACTATATACTCCTTGGAATGGCAACAGTTTCCATGTCGAGTGCTGGCAGGGGTGGCAGAAATGGAACTCTGTACACCACTGGTGGGAGAGAAAATGGTATGGCCCCTGGGGAAATCGGCGTGGCAGTTTCTTATAAAATTAAGCGTACACTTAGCATAAGACTCAGCAATCCTACTCAAAGACATTTATCCAAGTGAAATAAAAATCTGTGTTCACACAAAAACCTGCATAGGAATGTTTGTTTGTAATTGCCAAAAGCCAGAGAAAGCCCAAACTGCCCCTCAACTTGGGATAAAGTGTGGATAAAAGTGGATAAACTGTGGCACATCTGTAATTGGGAGTCCTACCTCGCAAAGCAAGGGGCAAACCATAGAGGCACACAACACGAACGAATCTCAAGGCATCAGCCTACGTGAAAGAAGCCAGGCTTGGAAGATTCCCTGTTGTATGATCCCAGAACGTACGGCATTCTGGAAAAAGCAATATTACAGAAACAAGAAAAAGATCACTGGTTGCCAGGGCCTGGGAGTGGGGAAAGAACGTTTGACCACAAAATGGCACCGGGGATTTGAGTGGAGGTGACACGACTGTATGGTTGCTAAAAACTCATAGAGCTGTGAATGTTACCTTATCATCATCATTATTATTATTATTTTGAGATGGAGTCTCGCTCTGTCACACAGGCTGGAGTGCAGTGGCACGATCTTGGCTTACTGCAACCTCCACCTTGTTTGGGTTCAAGCAATTCTCCTGCCTCAGCCTTCCTAGCAGCAGGGATTACAGGTGCCTGCCACCACGCCCGGCTAATTTTTTGGTAGTTTTAGTACAGATGGGGTTTCACCATGTTGGCCAGGCTGGTCTCGAACTCCTGACCTCAAATGATTGGCCCACCTCGGCCTCCCAAAGTGCTGGGATTACAGACTTGAGCCACCATGCCCGGTCTATTGTTTAATAGGGGAAATACGTCCCATCCCAAGTGTGTCCCTGGCCCCTCCTGGTCCTTGCCAGCTGGTTCTTGGGAGTCTTCAGGTGTGTTGTGTCTTTCTCACCTCACCAGGTCCCATCTGTCACTGACCAAGTTAGGCTGGCATTTAACCTCAGTTACCTGGAAGTCAGGTGAAAAGATGAGGGGCAGCTTTCAAAGGGCACCTGTTGTCCTGTGTGAGAAAGGTTTCAGCAGCTCGCTCAAACGTGACAGCAGTGTTAGCTCTGCCTGGGAAGGGCCGACCTCCCGCTAAGTTCTGAGAGTCCAGGTGGGTTGCAGAGTCCACATCTTTGGGGACACATATCCGCATGTTTCTGTCTCTGTTTTCAGGGCCTGACTTCACGTCCCTGGTCTTCCTTGGCTGAGCAGTCCAACCTCTCTGTGACTCTGGGACTGTCACAATCAGGTCATCAGTCTGCCACTCAGCTGGGTCTGCCTTCCATGGAGGGGGGCAGGGGCTTCTTTGTGAGCTGGCACCAAGCCCCCTGGCTCTGTGCTTAGTCCAGGACTCTTCATTGGCAGCCGTCCATGTTTCATTATCCTTGGGCTGGGCTGCCGTGCAGCTCAGCGGTGCCACCCAACCCTGCTGACCTTGTTGGCATTGTCCCCTTTTGCTTTGCAAATGCCTACGTCATCGTACTGCCACAGGCCTCTCCTCCACCTAGACCTTCCCTGCAAATCATCACCAGCAAAGATTTTAACAATGGGGGCTCCACCTCGTGTCAAGGACTGTCCATGCCCCACCCAACAGCCAGAGGGGTGGTTCCAGTGCCTCCTGACCAGTAGGTGGGCCCGTCCCAAGTGCTCATCCCAGCACCCGCCTTCTCAGAACACTCTCAGCACTACTTGCTTTCGTCAGGGGCCTTCTAAGGAGCAGGCCCAAAGATGGGATCAAATGCAGGGGATTTCAGCAGGGAAATGTCTACGTGGAGGAAATGGGGAGGAGCCATAAGGGCTGGGGGAGCCATGTCCCTGCTGCAAGTGTGACCCTGAATGAAGGGCGAGGGGAAGCAGCATGGGAGACCGCCATGCTATCAAAGAAACATTGGATGAGGCCTCCGGGGATCCCTACGCCAACGTCTTTCATCAGAGGGGTGTCGGGTCTCCCAGGAGCAAGCCCGCATAGCACCCCAGTCTCTGGAAGCAGCCCATGGCTTTGGCGTAAATGCGGTGCTGGATGCAGAGTGCACCTGCCGGGGCCTGGGAAAGCCACTGTCTGCACGGCAAAGTCAATTCGTATGCAGGAGAGCAGAACATCACAACGAATACACAGCCCACAAGTCCTCTAAGGAACCCAGCACCAACACGGAAAAGGACATAATTTTTCTCAAGGACATGTGACACATTCACAAAAGATTTACCGTAAAGTCAGTATTGAAAAATTTGAAAAGATTGAAATCATACGGTGAGTATTCTCTGCAATTATGCTACAACTCCATGAATAAAATGTAAATAGAACATTCTGGGCCGGGCACTGTGGCTCACGCCTGTAATCCCAGCACTTTGGTTGGCCAAGGCGGGCGGATCACCTGAGGTCAGGAGTTTGAGACCAGCCTGGCCAACATGGTGAAACCCCGTCTCTACTAAAAATGCAAAATTAGCCAGACATGGTGGCACGCGCCTATGGTACCAGCTGCTTGGGAGGCTGAGGGAGGAGAATCGTTTGAACCCGGGAGGCGGAGGTTGCAGTGAGTGGAGATCACGTCCATGCCACTTGAGCCCAGGAGACCACCCTGGGCAAAATAGAAAGATTCCATCTCTACAAATATAGGTACACACACACATATATACGTATACAAAAATTAACCTGGTATAGTGGTGTACACCTATAGTCCCAGCTACTCCAGAGGCTGAGGTGGGAGGACGGTTTCAGCCCAGGAAGTTGAGGCTGCAGTGAATCATGATCACACCTCTGAACTCCAGCCTGGATGGCAGAGTGAGACCCTGCCTCTAAAAAAAAATTAAAATTAAAAAAATACATTAATTAAAAAAAATTTTTTTTTTTGAAATGGAGTCTCACTCCGTCACCCAGGCTGGAGTGCAGTGGCACGATCTCAGCTCACTGCAAGCTCCGCCTCCTGGGTTCACGTCGTTCTCCTGCCTCAGCCTCCCTAGTAGCTGGGACTACAGGCGCCCGCCAGCACGCCCGGCTAATTTTTTTTTGTATTTTTAGTGGAGACGGGGTTTCACCGTGTTAACCAGGATGGTCTCGATCTCCTGACCTCATGATCCACCAGCCTCGGCCTCCCAAAGTGCTGAGATTACAGGTGTGAGCAACCGCGCCTGGCCCCTAATTAAAATGTTTTAACAAAGGTTCATTTTACCCCTTCTTGTTTTTTTTGTTTGTTTATTTTTTGTTTTTTTTTTGAGATGGAGTTTCGCTCTTGGTGCCCAGGCCTGAGTGCAGTGGCGCCATCTTGGCTCACTGCAACCTCCGCCTCCGGGATTCAAGTGATTCTCCTGCCTCAGCCTCCTGAGTAGCTGGGATTGCAGGTGCTCACCACCACGCCTGGCTGATTTTGTATTTTTAATAGAGATAGGGTTTCACTTTGTTGGTCAGGCTGGTCTTGAACTCCTGATGTCAGGTGATCCACCCACCTCGGCCTCCCAAAGTACTGGGATTACAGGCGTGAGCCACTGCACCCGGCCTACCCCTTCTTTTATTCTGCATTTTCTTCACCAATTTGTCAACCAGCCAATTTGTCACCAACTTGCCACAGTTACCTTGCACTCAAACTACACTTAAAAATAAAATTAGAAAACATGAAAACATCTGAAGGGAAAAATCGAAGCTCATCGTCATAGCATTTTTACACAGATATATACTAGATGAAAGAGCTGCAGAAAATGCTGCCTCTATGGCCCTCTTGTTTGCTGTTTGTGCACCAGTTAAAACAACTGAGGTTCGCTGGAATATGGTGCATACTTCAGACTGTGGAATATAATATTCTCTGACTAAAAACTGTTGCGTTGAGTAAAACAAACAAACAAAAAAGTATTTTTTCCCAGCTACTCAGGAGGTTGAAGCACAAGAATCGCTTGAGCCCGGGAGGTGGAGGTTGCAGTGAGCTAAGATTGTGGCCACTGCACTCCAGCCTGGACGACAGAGTAAGACCCTGCCTCAAAAAAAAAAAAAAAAAAAATTAATGAATTAAGCATTCGGTGCAAGATATTGGAGAGAGAAGGACATAAATAGGATAGCAAATAAAGCAATAACTATTAAAGGAATTCAAACTAAATTAAAACCTTCCTACAAAGAAAGCTCCAGGGTCATGTGGCCTCACCAGCTGCTGCACCAAATATAAAATGCAGAGGCAAAAACCCTGTTAAGCAACTCGAGGCCAAGCAGGCCAAATCTTGGCACCCAAGCCCCAGGGGGGCGGCGGGCACAAGGAAGCCTGGGAGTCCAGCGCACACTTGCTTCTGGAACAAAGAGGCATGACAAAAATAGCAGCGTTTCAAAACACAAATACACAATGAACATTTTAGGCCCAGTCCAGGCACGCGAGCCTGTTTTAACATTAGACAAAATGTCCAAGAATGTCATTTGCTGCATTAACTTCCTTGAATACACGAAAGAAAATCACATAAATGATGTAGAAACGTCATTCCATAATATTTCATAGGAATTTAATAAAACGGGGTCATTTCTGCCAGAATGCATTGTGTAAAATGCAAACCAGCTCAAAAGCAACTGGCAAATAAAGTAATATCAGTATGACACTAGAATTATTCTCCTTTAGACACCTTTCCCCCCAGCATATTAATGATGTAAAAGGACTGAGGTAAGCATTTTCACAATTAAGACAGGCGCTTCTCTCCACGCGGGCCATGGCTGGCTTGGTGTCCGCAGGGACTGCTGCTGCACCTGCCCCGATGAGCCATCTGAAGAAGCTGGGGGCACACATGAAAAGGCTGAGAAGTGCTGGGCAAGGTGGCTCACACCTGTAGTCCCAGCACTCCGGTAGGCTGAGGTGGGCGGATCACCTGAAGTCAGGAGTTCAAGACCAGCCTGGCCAACATGGCGAAACCCCGTCTCTACTAAAAATACAAAAATTAACCAGGCGTGGTAGCGGGCGCCTGTAATCCCAGCTACGCAGGAGGTTGAGGCATGAGAATCGCCTGAATCCGGGAGGCAGAGGTTGCAGAGATCGTGCCATTGCACTCTAGCCTGGGTGACAGAGCGAGACTCTGTCTCCAAAAAAAAAAAAATGCATTTCACCCATGGTGAAAAAAAATCATGAAAATGCCTACAATCTGAAGCACACGTTTAAATTTGGGAAAATCTGAAGTGAGTGCCTGTCAGGGCCTCTTTGTTGAAATGAGAATCCTGAGCCAGGATTGAAGGCTGAGAAGGGGCAGTTAACAGGTGCTGGGTGGACGTGATGACGGGGACTGAACTTTGCTAACGCTTGTCATTTACTCCAGTCCCAAAATTACACAGCTTTGGAACAAAACTGCCGCCCAGATCTATTTTTCCATCAGCTCTGTTAGTTTTTAGTCCATGCTTTCTTTTGCAGAATAAAAAGTCTTTCCTATTTATGGCATTATAGCAAAAATGTAAATATTAGCATATTATAAATGATAGGGAAGTTCTTTAAGTTAATAGAGGATGTCTGCAAATACCCAGAACAAATATCACACAAGTCCTACAAACTTCAAAGATTTATCTTTGAGATAAGGATTATAAAAGAAAAGCCTGCTATCACCACCTGTTTTACATTGAAATTGAGGTCCTAGAAAATGCAGTTAGTCAAGAAAAACACATAAAATGTATGTGAATTAGAAAGGAAGAAATAAAACTCTAATTATTCATATGATAAGGTGCCATGATTATATATATAACAAATCCAGATAAAGCTACAAAACATTATTAAAATAAGAAATGCATTTAGTAAGGATCCTGGCTATATGATTACTCTTTAATAGTCAATAGTATTTCTTCACATTAGTAATAAAAACTTAGAAAAGAAAATGTTTCAAATGGTGTGACATTTACAGTAGCATAAAAATCAAATATCTAGAAATAAATTTAACAAACTGTGTAAGACTACACAGAGAACAATAAAGCGTTTTTTTTTGGGAGAAATTAAAGAAGGCTTACATAAATGGAAGGTTATAGCATGCTTGGAGATTTGGAAAACCCTTGCCTATTATAAAAATATGTAAAGAAAAACTTACATATTATAAAAATGTAAATTCATTAACGGCAAAAACCACAGTTGTTTTTGCACCAGCCTAATATTTGGGGAGAATTTACGTTTTTACAATGTGTGAGAGTTTTTGTTTACATATGTTTATAATACGTAAGGGTTTTCCAAATCTCCAAGCATGCTATATGGCATACTTTTAATGGCAAAAACCGCAATTAATTTTGCACCAACAAAAATATATCTATAGATTTAATCAAAATTCCGATAGGCTTAAAAAAATTTGGATAAACTGGCTCTAAAATTAAGTGAAAATCTAAAGTAAAATAATCGAGAAATTCTTGGAGAGTGACAATATGAGGGGTGGAGTGGACATGTGGGCTTATTCTCAAGCTACGGTAAGTAAGATGATCTGGCATCGGTACAGCAACAGACAGAAGAGCAAATAGAGAGCCGAGCACTAGACCCTGCATCCAGGAACACTTGAGGTCCAGCTAAGGTGTCTCAGCAGAACAATGAAGAAAGGACGGGTTTTCAAAACAGCAGAGAGGCGGAACTCACCTCTGCCTGTCTCCATGCGCAGGGAGATTATCCATCTAAATGTGAAAAACAACATAATAAAGACCCTAGAAGATCATCAAGGGTGATATCTTTTATTTTATTATTATTATTTTTTTGAGATGGAGTCTTGCTCTTGTCACCCAGGCTGGAGTGCAGTGGCATCATCTCAGCTCACTGCAACCTCCACCTCCGGGTTCAAGTGATTCTCGTGCTTCAGCCTCCCGAGTAGCTGGGATAACAGGCGCACGCCACCACCCCCGGCTAATTTTGTATTTTTAGTAGAGATGGGGTTTCACCATCTTGGCCAGGCTGGTCTCGAACTCTTGACCTCAGGTGATCCACCCACCTTGGTTTCCCAAAGTGCTGGGATTACAGGTGTGAACCACCGCACCTGGCCGGTGATCTCCTTTATATCTGGTTAAATCAAGAACTGGTAATAAAGAAAAGGACAACCACTGAAGACCCCTGCTTCGTTGAGATGTCGTGTATCACTTTAGGAAACAACGCTACGACCACTAGAAAAAATGCAGATGACAAGTACACACAGGACATTCAAGAGCCATAAAAGCAAAGAAGACTAGAGCAACTCAACTTCCAAAGAATAACCTTTTCTAGATAGTTGCTCTAAATGGCTGATTTTCTCCTGGGGGCCCATCTTGGGAGAGGGCTGAGGGTTGGGTTTGGCCTGGGTGTTGGGATTCTGCTAGGGGAAGAGAAGCCAGTGGAGACATTGCTGAGTCTCGTGGGGCTGGAAGGGAGTGGCGGGAGGCGCAGGGCAGAGCCGGTTGTGGCCGCTGGACACTTGTCCAGGTCTAGGGTGGTCCGCAGAGCGGGGATGTTGGGTTGGTAACTGTTAAGAGGCTGAGTGGGCCAGACGCGGTGGCTCAAGCCTGTAATCCCAGCACTTTGGGAGGCCGAGGCGGGCAGATCACGAGGTCAGTAAATCGAGACCATCCTGGCTAGCACGGTGAAACCCGTCTCTACTAAAAGTACAAAAAATTAGCCGGGCGTGGTGGCAGGTGCCTGTAGTCCCAGCTACTCGGGAGGCTGAGGGAGGAGAATGGCGTGAACCCAGGAGGCAGAGCTTGCAGTGAGCCGAGATGGGGTTTCACCATGTTGGCCAGGTTGGTCTCAAACTCCTGACATCAGGTGATCCACCCACCTTGGCCTCCCAAAGTGCTGGGAGTACAGGCTTGAGCCAGCGCACCTGGTTTAACCAGATTTAAAAGATATCACCGGCCAGGTGCGCTGGCTCAGGCCTGTAATTCCAGCTCTGGGCGACAGAGCAAGACTCCGTCTCAAAAAAAAAAAAAAAAAAAAAAGAGGCTGAGTGAACTCCTCTCTTGCGGCCCCATGATTCGTGAGTCCCTCTGGAGACAGTGGCTTGCCCCCAGTGCTCGAGGCCCCCAGGATTCCCACCCAGATCTCCAGCCAGAGCGAAGAGCAAAGAGCAAAACCTCTGCCGGGAAGACGGAATCTGCATCCTCTTTCACGGCTTAGGAGAAACATTTAAGGGCTCAGGAGGGTTCTGCCCCAAATCGGTAACAAACTAAAAGCGACTGACTCAGAAAATCTCAAATCCAATCCTGAGCAAACGCAGTCAAACGAATTCCTCAAACAAACTGGGTTGAAACCGTCAAGCCCTCCCATGCGATCCACCTAGCAGGAGAAAATCTTCTTCACGAGAAAACAACAATTTGTCTTTAATAAATTAATACATAATGTTTAGCCTCTGAAGTTCTTTTATGCATAATGTATGAAATGCAAAAATAAATAGAGACATGAAAAGAAGATAAATACATCCAATATCAAGAAAATAAACTTAGCAGGATGGTTACCTGTTGTAAAGAACGAAAAAAGAAAAGAAAGCCAGACAGTAAGAGGCAACCACTTATAATCTGTATGTTGGAGTTATGCATTAAAAGAACTATTATACATATGTTTTGAAGATAGAGGAAAAGATGAACAAAATGCATGAGAAGGTGAAGAATCTCATCAGAAAATTGGAATCTAAAAAACAATGGTATAAGCATTGTTAAACTAACATTATATCTAAAATTTGAAAATGCATTGGATGAAAAAACAGAATATAGCTGTGCTATGCCCACATATACTTTCTGAGAGTAGATCCTGAGATATTTACACAAGTTATATCCTAAGGTAGTATTTCTTAAAGTGTTTGGCAATAATCAAGATATAATTAAATTTTGCTTAAAATACACAATGTATAGAAAATGTTGGATTAAGCAACACTCAATAGATTTCCAAGCAACATGTCTTTTGTGAGTTTTATTTTACCTAGCTAATATGCATTATGAATCTTCAGAGAAGGGTTCTTAACATATTCTTTTGTTTTCCTTCACACAAGCCAAGAGTCCTAATCAAGATTTTCTGCAATCAACTATGATTCTTCTAAAAACATGTTGGGTATATTCAATCATATGCTGAACAGAGCAGAAGACTGAATTAGCAAATTTAAAGAAAGATGAATAGAAAATATACAAATCAAAGACAGTCTTTCAAGGGACAATCGGTCAGCGTAACTGACTGATTTTATGAGTTAGTTGATTTCTCATTAGAAACAATGGAAGCCGTAAGAGAACGGGATGACAGTGTGGTGGTGGTGTTTTTTTAAAAGAAAAAAATGGCCAACCTAGAATTCTATAGGCAACAAAAATATCCTTCAAAAATAAAAGCAAAGACCATTTCAGACCAGCCAGGCTGTTGCAGGAAACACTCAAGGGAGATTTTTGTGCTGAAAAAAAATTGTCCCAGATAGAATGCGGAACTTCAAAACAGAATACAGTGTCCTGGAAAGGCTGAGTAAGTATGCAAGTCACTACATGGAAAAAGAGAAAGAGAAAGAGAGAGAGAGAGAGAGAGAGACTGCGTATTTAAAACAAAGAGATTACAGATGTTTATAACATATATAGAGGTAAAATATAAAATGACAATAGCACAAAGGGCAGGAGGAGGTAGACATGGTTAAATTCCTGTAAAATGTCTGTACTGTTTCTGGGAAGTGGTAAAAGCACAACTTTCTTTAGACCGTAACAAGCCAGTAACTCCTGTTGTCATATTATCACTCCTAAGAGATTAATACAAAAGTATATAGCTAAAGATCTAATGGAGATAAAATGAAATAAAAACATTTGATTTGGCCGGGCGCGGTGGCTCATGTCTGTGATCCCAGCACTTTGGGAGGCCAAGGTGGATGGATCACTAGGTCAGGAGATCGAGACCAGCCTGGCCAGCATGGTGAAACCCCATCTCTACTGAAAGTACAAAAAATTAGCTGGGCGTAGTGGCACTCGCCTGTAGTCCCAGCTGCTTGGGAGACTGAGGCAGGAGAATTGCTTGAACCCGGCAGGTAGAGGTTTCAGTGAGCTGAGATCCCGCCACTGCAGTTCAGCCTGGGCAACAGAAAGACTCCCTCTCAAACAAACAAACAAACAAAAATTTGATTCATCTAACAAAAGGCAGAAAAGAAATAAGGAGGAAAAACAAGTGAGTCGAGGAAAACATTGCAAAACAAAGGTAGATTTAAATGTAACTATATCATAATTATTTTCAATGTTACAATAAGTGGATAATCACTGCAGATAAAAGTCAAATTAGTCAATACAACTTTAAAAAAAACAAATGTTGTTTACAGCAGGGCACAGCGGCTCACGCCTGTAATCCCAACACTTTGGGAAGCTGAGATGGGTGGAGCGCTTGAAGCTCAGAAGTTCGAGACCAGCCTAGGCGACATTGCAAGACCCCATCTGTACCCCAAAAAAAAAAAAAAAAAAATTAGCCAGGCTTGGTGGCATGTGCCTGTGTTCCCAGCTACTCAGGAGGCTGAGGTGGGAGGATCGCTGAAGCTCGGGAAGTCGAGGCTACAGTGAGCCATGATTGTGCCACTGCACTCCAGCCTGGGTGACAGAGCAAGACCCAGTCTCAAAAATAAATAAATACAGCCTGGCCAACATGGCTAAACCCCATCTCTACTAGAAATACAAAAACTAGCTGGGCGTGGTGGCACACGCCTGTGATCCCAGCTACTCGGGAGGCTGAGGCAGGGGAATCGCTTGAACCTGAGAGGCGGAGGTTGCAGTGAGCCGAGATGGCACCACTGCACTCCAGCCTGGGTGACAGAGCAAGATTCCATCTAAATAAATACATAAATAGTTTTTTATAAAAGATATAATTAAAGGATATGCACAGATTGGAATCGAAATATGATATAGCTTACAAACATTACCCAAAAGAAAGCAGAGGTAGTTAAATAAACATCAGAAAGGAAGTAGACTTAATAAAAGAAATATTGCTACCAATAAAATGAATCACTTGATAATTTCAAAAAGATCAATCAAAAAGACACGACAATTCTAAACTTCCATTCATCTGATAGCGTTGCTTAAAATACGCAAAAGCAAAGCTTGACAGTGGCAAGGAGACATAGACAAATCTACAATCAGAGTTGGAGGCCGTAATGCACGTCTCTCAGCAACTGATAGGACAATTAGACTGAAAATGAAATCAGTAAGGCAGGAGAAGATTTCAACAACATAATTAACCACTGGAAATAATTAAAATTTACAGCCAATAACTGGAAAATAAACATCTTTTCAAGTGCACATAGACACAGTTACAGGAACAGACCAAAATCTGCTTCAAAAAGAAGCCTCATGCATTGTTAAAGTATTGAAATGATCTAGGGAATGTTCCCTGACAATAGTAAAAATAAAGCCAGATACTGAGAACAGAAGGATAACTACAGGCCGGGCGTGGTGGCTCACGCCTTTAATCCCAGCACTTTGGGAGGCCGAGGCGGGCAGATGACCTGAGGCCAGGAGTTTGAGACCAGCCTGGCCAACATGGTCTCTACTAAAAATGCAAAAAATTAGCTGGGCGTAGTGGTGGGTGCCTGTAGTCCTACCTACTCGGGACGCTGAGGCAGGAGAATCGCTTGAACCTGGAAGGCGGAAGTCGCAGTGAGCTGAGATTGCGCCACTGCACTCCAGTGGGGGCGAGTGTAGAGCGAAACTCTGTCTCAAAGAAAAAAACAATAATAATCACTATAAAAATCTGAATGTCTGCCGGGCACGGTGGCTCACGTCTGTAATCCCAGCACTTTGGGAGGCCGAGGTGGGCAGATCACGAGATCAGGAGATCGAGACCATCCTGGCTAACACGGTGAAACCCCGTCTCTACTAAAAATACAAAACAATTAGCCGGGCGAGGTGACAGGCGCCTGTAGTCCCAGCTACTCGGGAGGCTGAGGCAGGAGAATGGTGTGAACCCGGGAGGCGGAGCTTGCAGTGAGCCGAGATGGTGGTGCCACTGCACTCCAGCCTGGGTGACAGAGCGAGGCTCCGTCTCAGAAAAAAAAAAATCTGAATGTCTGCAAATTAACCAAGTGTCTATGTAATCAAGGATTCAAAAAAGAAATCAGGATAGAACTCAGAAACTATATTGAAACAAATGATAATAAAACATATATAATATCAAAACTTGTAGGATATTTATGGATTTAAATTAATTCATTATATTATGAAAAAAGAAAGTTAAAAAGAATTATTCACCAAAGAGGCTGGAGGGAAAAACAGCAATTTAAACCCAAAGAAATTACAAGAAAGGGAATAATAAAGTTAGGAACAAAAATTAATGAAATGAAAAGCAGACACACAATGGAAAGACCCACAGGCAAACTTTTCTTTTTTAAATAAGTATATTGATAATTATCTACAAGACTGACCAAGAATAAAGAGAATCAAAAGTTGTCAAGAGTATGAAATAGGATGATCAGAAATGAAAATGTGGGTACAGACATCCAAAATGGAATAAAAATATACTATGAACAACTTTATGTCAATACATCTGGCAGCTTCAATGAAATGGAAAAATTCCTTGAAAAACATTACCAGTTATGAAGACTTAATACAGATAGTATTCCCACAGGAATGGAGACAGTCTGATGCTGCTGTAAAGTCAGATAAATAGACCAGTGGGACAGACTGAAGTCCAGAAACACATGCACCACGTCTCTACGGCCACCCAACAAACCACTGAGGGCCCCTGCAACTTAGTGGGGGAAAGATGGTCTTCTCCATGAGGGACATGGCAGCACTGGGACGTCTCTATGGGAAGAATAAAAATACTAACATTGCCCCGGAGTTGGTTCAGGTTCTCCGGCAGCAGAACCAGAAGTGAGAAGATCTCCATGTCTGTAATTTACTGGGGACATGCTCCTAGGAAAATGGGGGAAGGGAAGTAAGATTTCAGGAGAGTGGGGGTTTCTGTGCAGGCCCAGCTTCTGCCTAATCAATGGCAACTCTTGATCATAGATCATAAGTTTATCTTGATGCAGACAGGGGAGCTTGGCTTTGGGGCTCCAGCCGGAAACAGCAGTGACTAAAGACTGTGAAAGGGATATGAAGTCCAGATACAGGGTCTTCCCAAGTACCATCTCAGTCGTGGACTCTTGGAGACAGATGCACACTGAGGCTGGGGGTGGGGCACAGAGGAACAGTGGTATGACCCAAGCAGACCTGGGTGGAGGACCTACAGTGTCCTCAGCTCCCCCGACCTCCCACCTCACATCATACACAAAAATTCATCCAAGGTGGAGCACAGACCTAGATCCAAAAGGCAGAACAATAAAGCTATTAAGAGAAAAGCTTCATGACCCTGAAGTGAGTAAAAAAAAAATAAAGAAAAAAGAAATTAAAAATTAACAGGACATGAAAAACATCAGTCATACAAGATAAAAATTATAAATGGAATTTAATAAAAAATAACTTAGTTATCAGAATATAACATTAAGACAGTGAAAAGACAAACTGCAGAGTGAGAGTGTGCCTAATTACATTTGTCTGGAATGGTTCCTCAATCTTTCCTTGACGTTCATGACCTCGACACTTCTGATTATAGGCCAGATCTATTCTCACGATCCCTCAGTTTGGGTCTGCCTGGTGTTTGGCTGTGCGTTTTTGGCAGGATATTAGTCACCTCAGGCTGCCACAGCTAATATGACTGGGTGGCTGAAACAAAAAAAATTATTCTTTCTCATTTCTGGAGGCTGGAAGTACAAGACCAAGATCAAGGTGCTGGCAGATTTGGGTCCTAGTGAGGGCTCTCTTCCTGGCTTGCAAACGGCCGCCTTGTCACTGTGTCTTCACAGGCTGTGGGAGAGAGAGAACAAGCCCTCTGGTGTCTTTTCTCATAAGGACACTAACCTCATCATGGGGGTCCCATCCTCACGACCTCATCTAACCCTGATCAGCTCCCAGAGGCCCTGCCGTCAATACCATCACAGTGGAGGTGACACAAACATTCAGTCCTTAACCGGCAGAAATATCACAGAAACGACTCCGTTCTTATCAGTGCATCCCATCAGGTGGTGAACAGTTTCAATTTATCTGGTTGTTGATGACATTCACTTTGATCATTTGATCAAGGTGATGCCTGCTGGGCTTCCCCACCTGTAAAGTTACCTCTGAAGGCATAAAGTCATAAAGTTTCTTTGTGATTGCGATGACTCTTTAGGAAATTTCTTTGGAACTAAAGATCACTGTGGTTGTTCAACTACCAGTTTATTGATGTATTAACATCAGTGTATTAAACTCGGGTTCCTATTTTATGCAATAAACTGTAATCTTGACTAACATTATTGGCTTTGATGCTCAAGTTGTCTCTGGCGTGGCCGGTGGGAAGCGACTCCTGCGTGTTTTCTGCATGTCCTCGCCCTGGCTCATCCTGCCCCTGACCTGTCTCAGCCTGGAATCAGCTGCTTCCCCAGGGAGCCCCGGGTCCTGTCGGTGGTGAGTGGTATTTAGGGGCCAGGGTCTGCCACTGGGGGGTTGCTGCTTTCAGAGCCTCTTAGAGGAAGGAGCTGGAGAATAAATGGATTCCTCCAACTCCAATCCAACACCACAGGCTGCGTTCTAGTTTCATCCCTTTCAATATTTGTCACTCTCTTTGCCCACAGTGAGAAAGCAGACTCCCATTTACTTCAATATCTTTACTTCTTCTACCGACCCCCTGGGTGTAATCACCTCCCTCCCATTGCCACTGCCCATCTCCCCGCAGATGCCCTTCTCATCAGGCATGGCTCTGGCCCCCTCCTTGCAGCCCCTCCTCTCCGTGCCCAGCCTCCTGCCCCCCTCCTCGAGTGCCTTCCCCACAGGGATGCCCCCACATTCTCCTCTCTGTGCAGCTTAGTTCACAATAAAAATTACTAATCACCACTGCTCACTTTCCATTCCCAGAGCCACTTTTCTTCTGGAGATATTCTTTCTATGCATTGGAATTACTTATGAATAAATATAAGGCTAATTTCTCTCAGAGATATTACTTGAACCCAAAGATGTTCATAGTTATTTATTTTATTTTCATATGCATATGAAAATATGTCAGTAGACATTTGAGTTATTTCCCATTGATGGCATTTATACATAACACTGCAATATATAAAAGACATAAATATTATACAGAAAACTACATCAAGCATAAATGTACAACTTAATGACTTTTATAAAGCAAATAGTCATGCAACCACCACCAGCATCAGAAAACGGAACCTTCCCAGCAACCCAGAAGTTGCCCCACCTGTGCTCAGATTTGTCAAATGCATCAACGTTTTTCATTATGATCACTCTATTTGTGTCTTGCCGAGAAAAGCAGTAACCAAATGGAAGATGTTGGTAATTGTGACTATATTAAAATTGGAAACTTCTGTCTATAAAAAGATGCCACTAGGAGAGCGAAGAGGAAAGCCTCCGAGCGGAAGAAATTATCTGCACTGCGTAGAACCATCAGAGGACGTGGACACGCTGTCCTGAGAGAACCCCTAGAATCACGGAGAAACTGACAGCCTGGTAGGAAAGAAATGGTCAAGACACTGAAATAGTCATTTCACAAACAGGAAAACCAAATGGCCAGTCTGTGCGCAGAAAAGACGCTCGACTTCCTCACCCATCTGGGAAACACAAACCAAACCCACCACGAGATACTACCACATGTTCCCCTGAGTGGCAAAAATTAAAAAAAAAAAAAAAAAAAAAAGACTGACAGCAGGTGCACTGGGGAGGAAATGAAACGGTGGGAACACACACTGCTGGGGGAGGCGCAGCCATCTTGGAGGGCGGGCGTCGCCTGCTGAGGTGGAGGATCAGCAGACTTCATAATTCGGCAATCCCACTACTAAGGATCTGCCCGAGAGACATGGGTTCTGGGGGCCCCGAGCAGCACACACAAGGATGCTTGCAGCAGTGGTACCCCTAAATGCCAAGACGGAAACCGCCCAAGCGTTTGTCGGTGGTAAAATGGATATGTACGCTGTGGTACATGATGCAATGGATGTCAGTCTGCAATGAAAATTCATAGGCACCCCAGTGAATCGCCGGGGGTGACTCAGCGCAAAACACCAAGCACAAAAGAGTGCATGGCCCGGTTCCATTCATAAAAAGTTCCAAAAGTCAGGAGCCTGTTTAACAGATGACGGCGCTGAGGGATGCACTCTTAGGTCGTAAAAATGTACACAAGGACTTGGAATTGATTGCTGGGTGTTGATCAGTCAGGGTGGTGGGTCCCAGCTGGGAACGAAGGGGTGGTCAGAAGGAGCCCCCGGGGGCTTCCAGGGGTCTGGACAAAGTGCTCTTTCTTGATATTGTATGGTTAAATTGATGGGTGATTGCTTTGTGAAGATTCATCAAGCTGTACATTTTCAAAAATTTTACTTTTAATTGACTTTGGGCACTATTCTGTGCGTTATATTTCACATTTAAGAAGTTTTTGTTTAAAGAAATCCTTTCTTTCCCATAGGTCATGAACAGCCCATTAATTTTGGCTAAAAGTCATCGTTGCTGCTTTGAAAATAATCGGTTTTCTCTGGCTGCTTTTAAGGCATTTTCCTCTGTGTCTCTGGTGCTGTGCAGTTCCACTGTGATGTACTCAGCCGGGGATTTACTGTTCTATCGTGTGGGCTTCACTGGTCTCAAATTGGTGGGTTGATGGAGCTTATCAGCTGTGGGCCATTTTCAGATGCTGTTTCCAGTGACTACTTCTGCTTCTTCCACCATCACAGCCTCTCTGGCCAGTCTCCCAAGAGCACATCTCCCGTCCTGGCTGCGAGCGGCCCCGACCACCCCTGCAAAGCCTCCAGCTCAGCAGGTGGATGTGAAGTCGGGGTGGGGAGGAGATTCCTGTCCCTTTTCTGTCTCAGAACAGTTCCCCTCTCCGCCCAGTCCCTGTCAAGGACAGTTCCTCTCATCCTGAGGTTCAGTGGGCCCTGTGGTTTTGTGGGGTCAGAGACTTCCCTGGCCCCTTGTGCCCCCATCCATCTGAGCTAGTCAGCTGCATGCTATGGGAGGAGGACCCCAGGGAGCGTATATTGCTGGTCTCTAAAGCCCCCGTGGGACAGCTGAGCACATGCAATTAGGAAAGAATGTTATGCGGATTTCCAGTGTCTGGAGAAGAGGCATCAAGCTCCACCACCTGCAGGAATGGGCAGTGGCTTGGCAAGGGCAGGGGAGCCTGGAGAGCTCTGGACCACTGTGGTCAGGGGAAGGGAGGCTGGGGGATGACCCTATAGCACCTCCTCCCCAATGCACACACATCTTACACATGCACACACACACAATACACACATGCAGACATACACAACACACACATGCACACAGCCACACGCAGCACATATACACAATACACACATGCACAGTCACATACATGCACACATGTACACAAAACACACACATGTGAAGACACACACATGCACATATACATAATACACACATGCACACAGTCACACACACATGCACACAGCCACACACAGCATATACACAATACACACATGCACACACATCTTACACATGCACACAGCCACACACAGCACACATACACAATACACACATGCACACAGCCACACACAGCACACACACACAATACACACATGCAGACATACACAACACACACATGCACACAGCCACACGCAGCACATATACACAATACACACGCACACACATCTTACACATGCACACAGCCACACACAGCACATATACACAATACACACATGAACAGTCACATACATGCACACATGTACACACAACACACACATGTGCAGTCACACACATGCACATATACATAATACACACATGCACACAGTCACACACACATGCACACAGCCACACACAGCACATATACACTTATGCACGGCCACACACGTACACACAACACACACACACATACATAGTCACACACATGCACACAGTCACAAACATGCACATACAACACATCCACATGCATGCATACACATGTACACACAACACATCCACATGCATGCATACACATGTATACACAACACATCCACATGCATGCAGTCACACACACTCACACAAAGCACATTTACACACATGCACACAGTCATACATGCACACCCTTGTACACACAACACACACACATGCACACAGGCACACACACATGCACACATAACGTGAATATCACGTGCAGTCACACACATGCAAACACACACACAGTTACATACATTCAAACACATGTGCACATAATACATGCATGCATAGAGTCACACACACATGCAGTCACACACAACACATACATGCACACAGTCACACAGAAGCAGTCACACACACATGCACCACATACACAGACAAAAGCACACAGGCACACACACTACACACACACACGAACACATATGCACACAGTCTCACACACACACACACACACACACAGATGCACAGTGAGGCTCAGCCTTTACAGTCCCCTCAGTCTTGATCCTTTATTTATTTATTTATTGAGACAGGGTCTCACTCTGTCACCCAGGCTGGAGTGCAGTGGTGCAATCACGGCTCACTGCAGCCTTGAGCTCCTGGGCACAAGCAATCCTCCTGCCTCAGTCTCCCAAAGCACTGGGATTATAAGCATGAGCCACTGAGCCAAGCCCCAATCCTTTTAAACTGGCCTGTTGGGCTGGGGTCCCAAGGGCAGTGACCAGGGCAGCATGGGGAGAGGGGAGGGTAGGGAAAGTCACCTGACTCCCCAAAGATGCACAAATATATGGAGGCACACAGGGAGAAGGACAGAGAGAGTGAGAGGGGGATTGATTCTTTCGTTCGTACAATGTTTATTGAATGTCAAATGTCTGCCAGGCACTGTGCAAAATCACATAAAAATGAGGTGGGAGGAGTGCAGTGGACAGGGAGCGCCAGCAGGTCAGGCATGAGTACAGACAGGCAAAGACACAGACTTCGAAGCCAGAGACCAGCGCCGGAGCTGATGCCTGCTTGCCTGCCTGCTGAGGGCGAGAATGCACCTGCTGTGGGGGCCTGACCTCACCGTGGACACCCACCGCGGGAGCACCAGCCCTCCCCCGGTCCCCAGGGTATGGAAGCCAGGGGCCTTTGTAGCCCCACATTGCCCGGAGTTGGATACAAACATCCCAAGAGCTAGGGGTGCCTTTACTGGCTGGAAGGTGACCGTTCCATTTCCCCAACATGAACTCAGAAAGCTTCAGCCAGGCGCAGGAACATCCCAGGGAAAAGCTGGCTGAGGGCTTCCCTAATGCAGGGGTGTTTCCTCCTGGCCCCTGTCCCAGGCAGCCACCAGCACTGCCACCAAATGTTTAAGGAAAATAGGCAAAGAAAGCATTTGCCCCTCTACTTTCTTCCCTCCCAGGCATAACATGGAAGACACCTGGACACTGGGGTTGGCCTTAGCTGCCCCAGGAACTAGAAGCCAGGACCCTCTCTCTTCCAAGGCCCAGCAGCCTCTGCCATCCTCTTCCAGCCCAGGCTTGTCCAGGAAGCCTCTGGGTCTAATGGTGCAAGCATCCGAAGTGCCCACAACCAGGCTGCCCACAGTCTCGGCAAGGCTTTCAGCCGCCCCTGGCACTTCTCCCACCATCCTCCAAGAGGCTCAATGACAGCTCCGTGCAGCCCCGCATCAGCCTCGCAGCCCGCCGCCTCCTGCCCTCCCATCCCACCACTGCCTGGGTTCAAGGGTCAGTGCTCAAGAGTCCCACATGGTCCCCACCCTGTCCCCTCTCTCGACTCTGACCCCCAAGCCCTCCCATTTTGAGGTCACACACTCCCCTCCCCTCTTCCCTGAGCACCCCCTCCATCCACCTCTGCCTGGGCTGCACCCCAGGCCCACGGGCAGGTGCTGGCCACCCTCCCTTCCTCTGCAGGTTTCTGGGTCAGGACTGTGACCAGAATCTTGCTCGCTGCACTCCTGCCACGGCTGTGCCCTGTCCCCTGCGTTTGTCCCATCTGCTGCTAGCTCAAGGTCCTCCCTTCTGAGGCACCCCACGTCTCCAGCCCAGAAGGCTCTTCCCTTCTCTGCTTGGTATCTTAAAGTCAACATCTTCTTCTCCCTGGTTTCCTGCCCTTGGTACACAGCCCTCTCCACTGGGCTGTCCAAGTCAAGGGACAGGAATCCTCCGGGCTTCTCCCCCACCTTACCTTCCAAACCAGTCAACCCCACTGACTGCACAGCTGCCACGCAGGCGCCCTGCTGTCCAGCCCTCTGCTGCCAGCCCCAGCCCAGGCTCAGCTCCCTCCACTTGCATCCACCTCTGTCCACTGGACTCCCCTCCAAGCTGGCCTCGCTACCCCAGAGGGCACGAGCTTCCCAAAACATGAGGCGCACGGCCATGCCCCTTCCCTGGGAAGGTTTGCCTGCCTTCCCACGGAATAGCAAGTCCTTCCCACTGCGCACCTGAGCTGCGGGATTTCCTGCGGTTTCCCAGACCAGCTGGGCACCCACAGCGCGAAGCTCCACACCCATGGCCACTGCCTCGGCTTCTTCTCCATCTTCACCTCCCCACCTCCTTCGTGTGCCTCGCCGATGCCCTGCACTTTTCCTAGTGCACCCTCATCAGCTTGTCTTCAGGGCTGACCGGCACCCCCATGACTGTGCCTGAGTTCCAAGGGGACAGAGCCCATCCCTGCATCCTGCCTCCCACATTGTGGACTGCACATGCCATGGGCCGTCAGGGCGCTGGCCTCGGCCTTTGAAAGGCATCTTCCGTTCATTTTCACAGTGATTATAGAAGTGAAAGGCCATTTTCCTATTTTACAGCTAAGGAGATGGGCACGAGAGAGGTAAAGGGGCCTGTCCAGGTCCCAGAGCCCTCCAGGAGGGACAGGGGTTAGCCAGGCGTCTATCGTCTCTGCCTGCTGCTTCCTTCCGAGTGAATTTGTGGTTTCCTTTGCTCTGATTTGGCCAATGCAGGCAGCTGAGGCTGTGCCCCACCCCCTTCCGTCCCCCCAGGAGGCTGCCTGACCCTCTAAGTGACTCGAGTTTGGGGTACCTCCACCAAATGCCCCCCCTTCCCATTCACTGTCTGGCACAGCTGTGATGGAGCAGACCGTCCCCTGCAGTCTGTTGGGACACAGCACCCGGGGCCCTGACCGCCAGGCAGTTCCTGAGGGAGGATTGCAAAGCCTCCAGACTTCTCCAGGCCCTGCCAGGGACACAAAGTAGAAGGCTGGGCTGGAGCTGCATGGGTATTTCATTGAAAGTTCACAGACACAAGGGCTCTGAGCGGGGTCACATCGTGGAGGAGGCAGGGTCGGGGAGCACAGAGTGAGTCCTCCCAACCTGGGACAATTTTGCATAAGCCCTTCCTGCTAGGTGTCAGGTCCAAGGGGCCCCAGGAGCCTGGGAAGGGGCACGTGAGGGCAGGGACACAGACGCTGGAAGCCAGGGTGCAGCAGCGAGGGGAGAAGCCCCCAGGCCCCAGACACAGGCAGGGTGGAGGCCAGGAGGCGGAGGGGGTGGACTGAGGGCCAAGCTCACTGCCCCCTTGCTGTACTCAGCTTCTGATGGCCTTGCTGCCCAGTTCACAGCTCAAGGGGGCCCCAGGACAAGAAGCCCTGCCCTGCCCCAACCTCATGGGATCCTGCGTTTCAGGGACCATGAGAATAAACATGTCTCAGTGCTTGTCTCCGCCAGCAGCCGTGCCTGGCGGGCCTTAGTAGTCGGTGAGGGGGTACCGCAGGAAGATGAAGACGAGGATGATGCAGGAGGCTGCCAGGGCAGAACTGGTGATGTTGAACAGCCGGGCCGTCTTTGCATCCTCCACGGCTCCATTCAGGTCATTGAGAAGCTTCTTGTCTCGCACCTGAAGCCGGGAGGAGGACAGGAAATGGGCAGTCAGCCAGGGAGCAGGGCCTTGGAGCATCCAGGAGCCCAGCAGAGCCGGTGCCACAGTGCTCAGCACAGTACCAGTGCTTTGTTTCCGAGAGCTGACGAATGAACGATGGTTCTAGAGGAACATGTCTCTGCCCTGGGGCACTGTACACGGATGAACTTGGGGCACGGGGGCGTCATGTCTGAAACCTCTCAGCCCTCAACTGGTTTATAAAGTAGGTGAGATGTATTTATATATATAGAGAAAAGCAAATATGGTAAAATGTTAAAAAATTGGGGCAACTGGGTGAAGGATATAAAGAAATTCCTTGTTTTTTCTTTTTGCAAGTTTTAAATGATTAAAATAAAAGAAGTTGGCCTCAGAGAGGATATAATTGGAGGATGGGGCGACACAACTGTCTCCTAATTTGATTGGTTCTGCCTCGTTTAAAATTAACTGGGATGCCTTGAGGATGAGCGTTGTGCATTGGCAGGAGAGACAGCAGTCCACAGGGCCTTTGGGGAGGAATATTAAGGCGAAAGGAGTGGGCTGGCACTCAGGAAGTCTTGGGGAGGCAGTGGACTGAGCTGGACTCATTTCCAAGAGGCAACCTTCATTCAGAATGAATTATAGGGCCCTCCCCTCCTCAGCACTCTTTCCTTCTATCACATCCACAAATATGTGCGTGTTTGCTGTAAGAAGAAACCAAGTTCTAGGATGAGGAAGGGAAGGAGAATGGAAAGAGAGGAAGACAGGAAGGGGCAAAAAGTCTTTGCCTTAGTAGATTGGAGCTGGGCTGAAAGAAGGAAGGTGGGCAGATAGATACTGGGGCTGACTAATGCCTGGATCCCTCAGTGTGCAGGTTAGGCAGATGGACAGGAGACCTAGGTCGGAAGACTGGATGGACAGAGGATAGATGTGTGGTCAGGGTGATGGATGTGTAATTGAGTGGGAGAATGGAAGCATAAATGGATTGGCCTGTGGGTGGATGGATGGAGGAGGCAGAATACTGGAAAGAACAAAGGGAGAGGAGAGAAAAAAGAAGATAGAGGGAGTGGGGAAGGGAAAGCTAGAACGCAATTCAGTGGAGTGGAATGGAATGGAATGAAGTGGAGCAAATGCAGTGAAGTGAAATAGAGTGGAGTGGATGGAGTGGAGTGGATGGAATGGATGGAGTGAATGCAGTGAAGTGGATGGAATGGATGGAGTGAAGTGGGTGGAATGGATGGAGTGAAGTGGGTGGAATGGATGGAGTGCAGTGGGTGGAATGGATGGAGTGGAGTGGGTGGAATGGATGGAGTGGAGTGGATGGAATGGATGGAGTGGAGTCAATGGAATGGATAGAGTGGATGGAGTGGAGTGAATGGAACGGATAGAGTGGATGGATGGAATGGATGGAGTGGAGTCAATGGAGTGGAGCTGGAAAAAAGTTGGAGAGGGAAGGGAAGGGAGGGAACAAGGGCAAATGGGCAAGTAGGTGACTTGGAAGATAAATTGTACAGAACGTGCTATCAAAATGGAGAGATTGAAGATGGGAAGAAGCAGGTATTGAGGATTCAGGGTAAGGAAGGAGGCAGGAAGAAAGTCTATGCTCTTATCGGGTTCTTATGCTAGTGGTTTTGGAGGAAACTGACATCTGCAATGAAATTTGTATTCCTTTATAAGGACTGAATGTGTCACCCACTTATTGAGGTCTTATTTGATGCCTTTGCTAAAATAAAGTTGTATAACTTTCTCCAGAAAGAGCTATTACATCTTTTGTTAGACTTAGTCTTAGTCTATTTATTGTTTTTATTATAATGTAAAAGTATATTTTAAAATTGCATGTCTAACTGATTTTGTATCCAGCTAAACTATCATATTGTACTAACTGACCACGTGTTCTTAATAATAAATCATATCTACAGCAAATACTAGTATTTCTATTTCCTCCTTGCAGTCTACTCCTAGACAGCACAGCATAGAGGTTAAAGCACAGATGCAGAAACACTGACTGGATTTCAATCCTGATTCTGCGGGTCGTAGACTGTACAGCCTTAGGCCAGCTAACAACTTACTCTTCTGCTCCTCATTTCCTCATCTGTAACATGAAGATGACGACAGCGCTGCCTCCCAGGGTTGTGGGAAAGGCTTAATGAATTGATGGATGTGAAACTCCACCACAGTGCCTGGGCCAAAGTAAGCTCCTCTCATGGAGGCAAAGAAGATTCCAGAGCGTTTCCAGACAGCAGCAATGAGGACAAGCAGCTGAGTCTCATTCTTGACCTCAAGGTACCAGGAAGGATAATGCTCATCTTATCATTAGAGGTCTATGATTGCGTTAGAATTTCCACAAGATAAACTATTGTTTCCTTCTCTAATTCATTAATATGGTAGATTATATTTATTGATTTTCTTATATCAAGACAACTCTGAATTCCTAAAAAAACTTTTGGTCTTGATTTCTTTGTTGGATACTTGGAGTGAGGAATAACGTGGCAGAGGGAGGATGAAACACTGGGTGTCAAAAGCGGATGGAGCGGAGGGCAGGAGGCTGAGGCAGCTGGGGTATTGGGTGCATAGAAAATGGCGGCCACAGCTAAAGAAGATAGGGAAGAGGAGGGTGGGGGAGTGATCTAATGATCGGGAAGGTGGGTGGATGAAGCTGAGGGGTTATACGGATGGAGACTGGGTGTATGGGACAGAGAAATGGATGTAGAAACTTGTGCTGGGTGGGGAGGAGGGCTGGACGGATATAAAATGTACGTTGGATGAGTGGGACAGGGAGAGAGCTGAATTTATGAATACAATGCTTCTTGATGTACAATGGGGCTACAGTCCAACAAACCCATCATAAGTTTAAAGTGTCATAAGGTAAAAGTTTCATACGCATTTTCGTATGATGTGTTTTTCACAAGCCTGGTAAGCTGAGGAGTGTACTGGGTGCCTATGGCTTTCCTGCCATTGTGAAGTTGAAAAAGCATACGTCGAACCGTCATAAGATGGGGACCGTCTGTATATGCTGGGTGGGGTAACAGGTGCATAGACGAACATATGAATATATGTCCAAGTGGACAGATGGATATGCAAGTGTATGCCACATGGGTGGGGCATCTGGGTAAGCGGGTAAGTGAACGGCTGCTGGATGGGAGGTGATGTGTGGATATGTAAGAGCATGTTCGGTGGGCAGGACAGGCAAATAGGTGAATACACGAGAATGTGTGCTCATGTGTCCATGATGGCTTGGACCAGGGCAGCGGCAGAGAAGGTGATGAGACAGAGCCAACTTCTGGACATGTGTTGAAGGTGGAGCTGACAGTGTTTGCTGGGATCAGGCTTGCAGTGTGATAAAAAGAATGGAGGCCAGGCATGGTGGCTCACGCCTGTAATCCCAGCACTTTGGGAGGCCGAGGCGGGTGGATCATGAGGTCAGGAGTTCAAGACCAGCCTGGCCAAGATGGTGAAACCCCGTCTCTACTAAAAATACAAAAAAATTAGCAGGGGCAGGCACCTGTAATTCCAGCTACTTGGGAGGCTGAGGCAGGAGAATCGCTTGAACTCGGAGGGCAGAGGTTGCAGTGAGCTGAGATCGTGCCACTGCACTCCAGCCTGGGTGACAGAGTGAGACTCCGTCTCAAAAAAAAAAAAAAAAAAAAAAAAAAAAGAATGGAACTCCACGTGGTTTGAATGAATGGACAGGTGGTTACAGGAATATAGGAACGGATGCCAGACTGGAAGGGCAGGTGCACAGATGGGTTTCTGAATGCACGCTGGATGGCTGGAGCAGGTCCATGGCTGGATATAGTAACGGATGCTGGATGGCTGGGACAGATCCATATGCTGAATGGGTGGAACAGGTAGATCAATGAATTTATGATGTGTTTTGGATGGCTAAGATTGGTGGATAAGAGAAAGGAAGGAGGGTTGTTGGTGTAGTGTAGACCACTGGATGGTAGATGGGTAGACAGATTCCTTAATCAATCAATCATCAATCAATATTTACTTAGTGTCTGCTCTGAGTAGTTGCTGTTCTAGGTCCTGCGTATATCACAAGGAATAAAACAGAGTCTCTGTCCTCACGCAGCTTACATTGTAGGGAGAAGATACAGAAAATAAACACGATAAATAAGTCAAATATGTAATGTGCTCAGTGTGCTAAAAAGAAACCTGAAGAGGCTCAGGGGAACAGAGAGTGCTGTGGGAGGTGCAAGTCTAGCTTGGTGGCCAGGCTCAGGGGAACAGAGAGTGCTGTAGGAGGTGCAAGTCTAGCTCGGTGGCCAGGGAAGACCTTGTGGGGTGGGAGGTATTTGAGGAAAGATCGGAAGAATGTGACAGACTCGGCCATGTGTTCATCTGCAGGGAGGCATGTCCTGGGAGCATAGAGCTGTCTGTGCAGGGCCCGGTGCTTCTGAGGACTAGGTGCAGAGTAGGGGCAGCAGATCACAGAGAGAGAAGGGGAGGACATACGGTCAGAGGAGACCATCCAGGAGCACGGTGCAGGCTCTGTGGGTGCTTTTTAGTCATTTAGAGCCGGAAAGATGAACGTGATATGACATATGTGAACGAGGCAGTGCTGGCCGCTGTGTAAGAACAGATGGCAGGGGCCAGGCATGGTGGCTCACGCCTGTAATCCCAGCACTTTGGGAGGCCAAGGCAGGCAGATCATGAGGTCAGAAGTTTGAGATCAGCCTGACCAACATGGTGAAACCCTGTCTCTACTAAAAATACAAAAATTATCCAGGTGTGGTAGTGTGTACCTGTAATCCCAGCTACTCAAGAGGCTGAGGCAGGAGAATCGCTTGAACTCAGGAGGCGTAGGTTGCAGTGAGCCAACATTGTGCCACTGCACTCCAGCCTGGGCAACAGAGCAAGACTCCATCTCAAAAAAAAAAAAAAAAAAAAAAAAAGAACAGATAGTTGAACAGGCAGAGAGAGGTGGATTGAATGGTCCAGGGGAGGGTGAGGGTGGCTTGGACCAGGGCAGCAGTGGTGAAGGTAGTGAGACCTGACCAGCTCCTGGACAGGCGTGGAAGGTGAAGCTGATGGTGTTTGCTGGGATCAGGTGTAGAATGTGATAAAAAGCATGGAACTTGACATGATCTCAAGGTTTTTGGGGTTTGATCAACTGAACAGGGAGTTGTAGAAGGCTGCAAAAGGAAGACTCGTTTAGCAGTTCAATTTCTGACATGTCAAGGTAGGAATGCCCTTTAGATATATAGCAGATATTTGGCATAGCAATTTGTGTGAGTCTGGAGTTCAGAGATGAGGTCTAGGGCAGAGATATAAATTTGAGAAGCATCGGCAAAAAGATGGTATTTAAAACTGATATAGTTTGAACACATGTCCCTGCCAAATCTATGTTGCAGCGATCCCCAGTGGTGGAGAGGGCCTGGTGGGAGGTGTTTGGCTCATGCGTGTAGATCTCATGGCTTGATGCTGTCCTCACCATAGTGAGTGAATTC